>NT_187575.1:0-36640 GCF_000001405.40 Homo sapiens | reverse complement strand
GCCTGAGCCTTGAGCCTCTGGTGTGTCCGTCTGGGAGCGCAGGCACCAGGCGATGATGGTGACAGCCATATGGCTGCTGTCCATGCTGTCAATGGCATGATGATAAGGCCAGGGGAGCGGGGCTGGCGGCCACATGTGTGCTGTGATGTGTGAGGTGACCCATTGTCCACTCCGGGCAGATGCCTGCTGTGGACAGACCAGAGCCAGGCCTTCCAGGAAGGACCCAGAAAGCCAGCAGGACAGAGCACGGAGCCGCCTCTCCCTCCCTGGCTCTGGCCCTAGAGCCTGGACCTGCTGGTCCAGCCCTCCACCAGCGGACCCCGTCCATCCCTAGTCTCCCCACAACGAGTCGTTCTGTGTTTCCCACTCCGCATTCATAGTCCGACATGCCTGCTCCCTGTACCCACCTTCCCACCCAGACCCTCCAGCCGCAGTGAAGAGTGAGAACCACGGCCTGCCCAGCGCACTCCCCTGCCAATCAGCTGCCAGGGCCCTTGTCATGCTCCGGGATCTTGGCTCACCCACTTCCCCCTTGGCCCTGGGGCTGACCCACACTCCCATGTCAGCTGGTCATGCACCCCCACATGCACGGGTTGGCGTTGAGGGGTGACATGGCAAGGAGGATGGCCAGGCAAGGAGGGGTGGCCGCAGGTCCTCCTCTGTGGGGGTGCCTGTTCCCTCGTGCCTCCCTCAATTGTCCATCACACTCGCTGAAAGCGTCATCTAGATGCAGAGGGCCCAAAGGAACCTGGGTTCCCACCTCTCTCTTTGTCTCTGTTTCTCTCTCTCTCTGTCTCTATTTCCCTACATCTGCCTACCTACCTATCTATCTATCTACATATCATCTATTATCTATCTACCTATCTACTGTCTACCTACTTATCTACCTATCTATTATTACATCTATCATCTATCTATCTCATATTTATCTATCATCTATCATATCTATTTATCTATCATCTATCCATCTATCATCTATCATATCTATCCATCTATCATATCTATTATATCATATCTATCATCTATCATATTTATCTTATATTTATCTATTATCTATCATATCTATCTATTTATCTGTCATCTATCCATGTATCATATCCATCTATCTATCTATCATCAGGAAGGAGGGGTGCAGTGGAGAAGACCCTTCAGCCCAAGGTGTGGTGGCGTCCATGGGGTCAGGATGGCCTCTCTTGGGGGTGTTGCATGAGCCAAGGGCTGAGACGTGACAGATAGAGAGGACGGCAAAGGCAAGGCCGCCAGGACCAGCAAGCAGGGAGGCAGGGATGGAGGAAGGGAAGGGAGGACCCCACAGAGCACCTGAGGAGCCTGGAAAGTACGTGAGGGCATGGGTGATGGCGGGGTCAGGTGTAATGTGGGCTGTGGGAGGGTCACCTGGCCTTGTAGGGACAGTGGGGTTGTGGGGACAATAAGAGAGGCAGGTTTGACCTCCAGTGCCACCCCTGCTGAGTTGTGTGCAGGGGACACGTGGCTGACCCTACTCAGCCTCGGTGATCCGTGTGTGCCGTGCGCCCTCTTAGCTCTGGACACAGTGGACTCTGGGTGGGCTGACGTGTGACAGTGGCTGGGCCCCCGTGAGTCCTTGAGCCCTGCTCTGCCCAGCCACAGTCCTGTCACATGTTGGTTGACCAGGCTCTGGCCTTGTGACACCTGCTGGGCTTCCCCCAAGCAGGAGCCTTGAAGGAGCCGTGGAAAGTGGAAGGTGGAAAGTGGTGGCCAGCTGTGGCCCCTCCCTCAGCCCCTCCCCACTCCCCCACACACTCAGAGCAGCTCTTCCCCAGGCTCCATCCATCCCCGGGCTCTGGTCATCCACCCTGCAGCCTCCCCCACACTCCCAGGCCATAAGACCAGAAGGTTCAGTGTCTGCAGTAGCCAGGTGCCTTCCCGTTCCTCTCGCATCCCCCAAGCCCCGCTCTTCCCCTCTTCGCCTCTTGCCTGGACAGAGCTCCAGCCTGCTGAGTGAGCCCCTCTGGGACGAATCAGGCTGCCACTGTGGGCAGTTAACCCTGGCCTAGCCCAGGTACAGTCCTCCACCCAGCTCATGCTCAGAGACCCCAAGTCTGTCCCTGTTTAGAAGAAGGAAATTCAAGAAGAATAAAACCAAAACTCTCCAGTGCGCATTCAAAGCCCTTCACCAGCAGAGCCCATCCCTCCCCAGTCTCCCGACAATGAATCCTTCCATGTTTCCCGCTCCGCATTCAGAGTGTAATATGCCTGTTCCCTGCACCCCCTTCCCACCCAGACCCTCCAGCCACGGTGAAGGGTGAGAACCACAGCTGCCTCCTCACTCCCCTCCCCATCAGCTGCTCGGGGTGGGCTACAGAGGCCCTGGGCCAAGTCTCCTCATTCTGGCTCCCAGATAACCTTCAAGGACACCTCCCGGGTCCCACCAGGGCTATTGTATTGACCTCCCGCCTTCCTGCCGCCCAAGCCCCCAGGGCTGCCTGGAGACAGATGCAAGCTCACCTTTGACCTTGTGGCCCTTAGGCACCCACCCCGGAGGTTGAATGGAGTCTCACTGCCCTGTGCTCACTGAGCACAGTGTGTGAGGACCCGCACTCTAGCTCCCTCCCACCTGCCCCGCCTCGTCTCTCCAGGGCTCCCCTGCCTCCCCTGCCTTCCCACAGGAACCCCCTTCCCTTCCTTGGGTCATGGAATTTCTACCCACTCCTCAAGAGCCCTTTAAAATACTCCTCCTGAGAAGCCTCCCAGATCTGGCCATCCAGACAGTAGTGTGCCCCGCTGCAGCTGCTCTCCACTGTGGGCCACGGTCAGCTCGCTCCCACCTCCACTGGGGGGGCAGGGAGGCAGAATGACCTCCCTCTCTCTGCCAACCACAGAGCCCAGTGATAATCACAGGATTGACTGAATACCTGGGCATGATGCTGAGGGGCTGAGCCCACGTCTGCAGGGTGGGGAACCCAGCAGAGGGACGGTGGGGTAGGAACCAATAGTCCCCAGTGGCCACATGGGACCTCGCCCATGGGCAGGTCCCAGCCTTTCCAGGGCCAAAGACAGTCTCCCCCATACCCTGGTTTTACAGCATCCACAACGTGACCTTGAGAAAGCACAAGTGTGCCAACCCCACCCGCACCCCCACCACCCTCTCCTGTGAAACGGGAGCAAGACTGTCCAGCTCTAGCATCTCCACGCTGGTCCTGAGGCCAATCCTAATCACGATACTAAGCTGTGAGGCAAGCTCGAGCATCAGTGGCTACTGAGCCTTGCCCTGGTCAGGCCCCCAGACACACTCCTTCCACATGTGCTATTGTATTTCAGTACCTGGCACAGGAATGCCAAATAAATCCTAAAACCTCCTGATGACCTTCATTATGGACTCTGTGCCTCTGTGTTTGCAGTCCCGGCTTCTGGCAGGGCACCAGCCAGCCTTCTGCTGTGTGCACCCCTCCTCCCGCCTCCCATTCTGAAAGGTGCTAAGTCTGACAGGCCCTGACAGCTGAGCTGGGAAACCCAGACTGCAAGGGCTGTAAATTCACCGGGCTGCTCCCCTGCTGCTGCAGGGCCTGCCTGCTGCCTGCTCCCCTCCTCCAGAGCCCATTTCTCGGGGCCAGATGTAGCCATAAAGCATGAGCCCTCTGAGAGCCGCTGGCAGTGATTCCCTGTGCCACTGGATTCCCTGGCATCTCAGACCTGTCAGGGTGACCTGTACCAAGACCCACCGGGTAACCCTGGGGAAGGAGATTTCCTGCACACTGGACCAGCTGGGCATGCTCACACTGGGGCTGTGGAGAAGAGGGCAGAACTGCCTTTGAAATTCAGGATTCTGCAGCCTCAGCCTGCTGAAGCCACCCGCCCAGAGAAATTCTGCATACAGCCGAGTTCAGGGCCAATGAATGAGCCTGCACGGAGTCGCAGCCCAGGGAGAGATTGAAAGGCCCCATTTAATTGGAAACACCTGCTCTTCAATCTCGGCCGCACAGGCCTCAGAGAGGGAATTAGAAAGCCCAGTGCCCAGAGTGCATCTTAAGCAGCCGCTCCCCCAGCTCCAGCTACCCACACTCTACTCAAAACCTGTCACCTGGAGGAGGGAGGCGTGGAGAGGGTGGGGCTGAGGGGTCTGAGGCTCCTCTCCAGCCTCTGAAGGGCTCTTTTGTTCAAGAAGGGACAGCCTGCTCTGTGGAACAAGATGCAAGCAACATGCGGGGAATCCGTCCACCTGGGCAGCACATTTCACATCTGGAAGGAGTCCCTGCCTCTGGAACTGTTTGGGCAGAAAGATGGGGGCTCTGGCCCCAATCCCCAGTGCCCTCAGAGGTGAGCTCAAGCTCCACGGAGGCACTGATTTCTCCTTTGTCCTGTCCTGGATGGGAGATAGGATGATGACCAAAGGCTTGGATGCTTCTCCGATGCTGGAGTCAGCAAACCTAAGCCATCCCTCTCGTCAACGCCCCCACCCCAGGCCTGCAGGGTTAGGATGGGGCACTTGAACCCTCTCCCTCTCTGCTCACATTGCTCAGAGCACGCACCCTTTGCCCTTGCCAGTGTGCTGCTGAGAGGACTGGCCAGGCTTCTAGGACTGAGTGCTGCCAAGGACAGAGCCATTGCTTTGGTTATGAGCTGTAGGGTTGCTGCGTGCCCTACTGCACCACAACCCCATGTGACACCTGCCACTCATCATCGTCTCCCTCTCGGGCAGCATCAGGCCAGTAGCGGAGGCCAGTGTCATATGCTCCAGACTTCCCTCGGGCCAAGGCTCTTCACCCTGGAAAGGACAGTCCTGCAGGTTGAACTCCTGGCCCCATCAGAAGTTACAGTAAGCCAGCCAGCAGGCCTGTCATGGTAAAAAGCCAACTCCTTTGTCGGGTAAACAGCCTGGCCAGATGGTTTCCACCACCCCTCCCATGCTGAGGGTCTGAGGACCAGGTGCCTATACCCCTAGGACCACATAGTCCCTGAATAAGTGGCCTACCCCATCTGCACCTCACCCAGCCATTTGACCTCATGATAGAAGAGACAGGAGGGAAGGGGAGGGGACAAAGGCCAGGGCAGACTCAAGAGTTTTGTTCTCTGGTGGGTGAAGGCCCAAGGGCAGGGAGCCTCCCACCTTTCTAGATACAGGTGGGAAGCTGGCCAGGGCTCACCCAACTCTGGAAAATCATCTGATGAAGCCTCAGAGGCTGGGGGAATGCCCATTAGGGAGAAGAAGATGCCAGACCCAAGGGACATGGTGACCAGCAGGCCAGGTCCAAGCCAGCAGGGTTTGGGCTGTGGGTACATCATGGCAGCAAAGGCTCAGGGGGGCCCAGCAAGGTAGAGGTATTCACACACCAGGTGCCACCTAGACCCCACAGAGTCACAAGGCCAGGGCCAAGTTGGCAGAGGGAAGCTGTCTTAGTCTATTTAGTGTTTTGCTGTAACAAAATACCTAAGGCTGTGTAATTGATACAGAAAAGTTTATTTGGCCCATGATTCTGGAGGCTGTGAAGTCCAAGACCAGGCAACTCGTCCTTGAGGGCTTGGTGCTCTTCAACTTATGAGGGAAAGTGGAAGGAATGTGGTGTGCAAAGGCACCAAACACAAGAAGGAACTCGCCCCATCCTGAGAGTGAGAGCTTACGCCCCAGATGGCACCAGTCCATTCAGGAGGCATCCACCCCCATGACCCCATCACTTCCTGCTAGGCCTCTCCTCCCAACACTGCCATGGGCAACTAAACTTCGGCCTGGGTCTCGTGGGGGCAAACCACATCCAAACCACAGCAGAGACTGGGGTCTGTGGGCCTCACAGGGAGCAAGGCCAAAGTCCCATCAGCAGCAGTGAAGCCCAGGGCCACAGGGCAGGAAGGAGCTGTCTCACACCCTCCAACATTTACTAGGGCCAGGAATGATGCTGGAGCGTGATCCTTGATCTTGAGGAGTCCACAGGGCATGCTTCAAGTCCTTAAATCTCTCCTGGGTAAGGCCCCGGGCAGAGGCTGCAGCTGGGAGAGGAGGGACCAATGGGGCGGGAAGCCTGGCCAGCAGGCAAGCCAGGACAGCCCACTCATTGCTTCCTACCCTCATGAGACTCTTGGTGGAAAGGCTCCGGGCTGCAATGGTGCCTCAGGATACAGAGATGCCCCCCAGCCAGTGTGACCTTGCAGTGTGTTCCAGCCCAGGCTTCAGGGTCCACAGGTCCTTCGGCAAAACAGAACCATCTCCTGCTCTCTGCCTGCACCACACCTGGGACACGCTGACATTCTGAGCACTGTGAGGTATGTTGCTGGCATCTTGATCTCGATATCCTGGCACAGTTCCTGGCCCAGCACTGGTGTTGAATGAATGCATGAATGAATGAGTGCAAGAATGAATAAGTGAAAGCATGCATGAAAAGAGAGATGTTGGCACTGAACCCCAGCCTGGAGAAACATTGCTGAGCCATATCTGGAAGCCCCTAACTCTGTCCCTCCCTCAGTCCTCTCACACCCACACTTGACCCTCCTGGGACACACAGAGGCTCATCTCCCAAGTCCTGACCCAAGGCACTGCTGGCTGGAGAGGGAGAGTTTTTGCAGGGGCACTCTTCCCCAAGCTGTCCCTCTGCCGAAGGCTTCCCAGAGGTGTCAGTCTGCCAGTCTAAAGGATAATCATTATGGGGACATGGGATTTAACTCTGCAGGAGGGGTCTCAGGGGCAAGTGGCCTGGGAGGGAGATGGCAGGGACCCTCGTAGGAATGAGGGAAATGTGTTGTGCACTCATATGGCACAGAGGCTTTTTCAGTGGCTAATTTTTCTGGGGGCTGTGTCTCCTTGCGCTTTACACTTGGCTTTATTAACGCCTTCTCTCCTCCCCAGATTCTAATCGCCCTCCAGAAGCAGCTGCTATTAGCTCCTCTCCTGAGCCTCCGAATCCCCGATGCTCAGCAAAATTCCCCTCTGATGGAAGCAGCTGTGCTCAGACGCCGCCCGTCTGCCTCCAGAGCTCATCAAAGCCCCTCAAAGGGAAGATTAGCAGCAGCTCCCATCAGCGGGGGCATTGTCGCCATTCAGCGCCTAAGCCATGCTTGGCCACTCGGGCCTCATGGAAGACACAGAATTAGAGAATATTGGACTCTTAAAAGCACAGACTCTCAGAAGCATAGGCTTTCAGAAGCATGGAATCATCCAATCTTCTCCACAAATCAGCTTAGGGTGTTAGAATTTTAAGGATGCGTCCTTTTAGAAGCTTAGACTCTTAGAAATCACCTCAAATTTTATTCTGATTAAGTTTAGGGTGAAATAGGTAAATCTTATCTTTGACACTGTCTTAGAAGCCTGGCATCTTAGCTTATTAAACCTCAGAATTTGAAACACCAGTGAGCTGCAGAAACCGTATCATCTGGGGGGCATCAGAGGGAGAGGAGCCTGCAGCCCAAGCCTCTTGCTCAGTACAGAAACCTCTCCGGGAGCCAGTGTGTCTTGCAGGCTCCCCTGCCTCTCGCAGTGGAGCAGAGCTTACAGCTGGCATGCTGGTCTTGGTGGTCTCAAATGCTTCCCTCTCCCAGCTTCAGATCCCAAGTCCAGGCAGTACCAGTGTGGGACAGGCACTCTCGCTCTGCTGGAGGTGATGCTTTCAGATCCCACCAGGGCTCACGCCCAGCCTTCTGAGCCCCCACAAACAGACTGCCCTCTAGGAGGTCCCGGGAGACCCTACTCTGGCTTTCAGATGTGTCTGAGCCTGGAATCCTTTGTTCCAAGGAAGCCCAGGACCACCCACGAATCAGAAGGGGCTGTGGGGATGGGATTCTGGGTCCCACTGGCCTCCACCATCCCACAGGCCTGACACCACCCACACCCGGCCCACTGTGGACCTGGGGGCTCCATGGAGCACAGGGTGAGAACGTGACTCCATGTGCCGGTCTGGTCTCACAGCCCGGCCCTGCCCCACAAGCACCACACACCCCATAGTGGACCACGGGTTTGGGAAGGATGGCACCCTGGAGCCCAAGCCAGGGCCCTCATGAGCTAAGGGACCTCAGGCCACCCTGGCACCCACCCATCTGAGTCTCAGTGTCTTCATCTGTGAAATGGGCCCATCAGGCCTGTGAATCCTTCCCAGGACTGTGAGGCAGCAGCTCTGCTCCAGACAGAATGCCGAGGAGGGTGGCAGGGTGCAGTAGATGCAGAGAGGGTTTGAGGTACCTCTGGAGACCACTCAGGCAAGGTGCAGTCCATGCAGCCGGGGAGGAGGCAGAGGGGCAGTGTGGATGGCACCGGAGGCCAGGTGGGAGGACTGAGCAGAACCTGGGTTCCCCCTGTGCCCAGCTCATCAGGGGACAGGGAGGTCCCCCCCACAGCAGATGTGCTGGGCTCCAGGCGCCTGCCTTCTTCATTCCCGCAGGAACACACACACCAGGCTGGTGATGCCTCAGGACCAGAATCACAGGCCTGGATGCCTTTCCGGGTGGCCGAGGGGAGCAGGGCAGAGTGAGTGGAGCCCACCCCTTCCGAGGCTGTCCAGGGAGCCAGCCTGCCTGCCCACCTGTGGGCTCTTCAGAAAGGGAACCCTCTCAGGGCACAGCATGAGTCAGAGGGGACCCTGCCCAGGCCATGCCACCCACAGCCACCAATGCTGTTAATAACTTGGCTAGGCAGGGACCTCTGGGCCCCGAAGGCCCCCAGGGGGACAGGTTCTGTGGGCTCCTCTGTGTGAGTCCCTCCTGCAGCCCTTTTCTTTCTAGGCTCACCCACTGAGATGTCCCCACCACAGCCCCAACCCATATCCCCAGCCCCCAGCAGAGGCACAAGCCTGGATAGAGCACTCGTCCTTGGGACTCCCCACTACATTTACAGAACCGGGACAGACTACAGGTGCAGCATTGGGAAGTCCTTTCCTGGGATCCCACCCAGTGCATCCCTGCCTCCACCCCCAAGACCTCTGCTGTGGTGCTGGCCCCATTCTGGACATAGCCACAGCCTCTCTGTCGCCCCGCCTCAAGGCACACCCCCTCCCAGTACCCTGCCAGTCCCTGCTGTCCCTAACACACCCACCTGGCTATGCGCTTCCCAAGTTAAGCCCCTTATGGGCCCCCAGTGACTCACACATCCAATCTTCACTACTGCCCTTGGCATAGATGGCTCCCACCCTGTGGCCAGAATCTAATGGCCCACCTCCTGCACCCTCCTTGAGCCTCATGCCCCAGCCATGCCAGGTGGCTCTCTAGCTCCCACCACCCACCAGTGTGTTTCTTGGCCTCTGAGCGTTTGCACAAATATCCCCGCCACCACTCCCTGAGATGGCCTGACCCCTAGGCCTGTCCCGTCTGCCTGTCTTCTCGGCCTGTCCACCAAGCCTGTCCTCTCAGCCTGACAACCCAACCTGTCCATTCGGCCTGACCACCTGGCCTATCCCCTCAGCCTGTCCCCTTGGCCTGTCTTGTCAGCCTGTCCCCTCGGCCTGACCACCTGTCATGTCCTGTCAGCCTCTCCCTTCGGCATGTCCCCTTGCCTGCCCCTCGGCCTGTCCCCTCGGCCTGTCCACTCAGCCTGTCACCTGGCCTGTCCCCTTGCCTGTTCCCTTGGCCTGTCCACCTGGCCTGTCCCCTCAGCCTGTCCACTCGGCCTGCCCACCCAGCCTGTCCACCATGTCTGTCCCCTCAGCCTGGCCCCTCAGCCTGTCCACCAGGCCTGTCTCATTGGCCTGTACCCTCAGCCTGTCCTTTTGGCCTGTCCACCCCGCCTGTCCACCAGGTCTGTCCCCTCAGCCTATCCACTCAGCCTGTCCACTTGGCCTGTCCCCTTGGCTTGTCCCCTCAGCCTGTCCCCCCAGCAGCCTCCTCCTGGCAGCCCTGCATGAGTGTGGCTACCCCTGCCCTGGGACCCTCCAGTGCTTCCCAGCCCTCTGCACCCCCCCACCTAGACAGCGTGGAGTTGTGGGGCCTCATCCCACTCCACCACCATCTCTCATTGGCAGGCAGTCTTGCTGGCTGTTCCCACAGCACCCATAGGGGGCCTGAGATGCCAGCTGCATCACTCGCCCTCTACTGATCGGAACTTGACATTCAGAGAGGTCAGGTAACTTAGGCAAGGTTACACAGCTCCTGGGTCACAGACCCAGCTGTGCCTATTCTAACAGCCTCTGACAGTGGTGCCTAAAGCTGACCATGTGGCCGGTGACCGCAGTGGTCCCGCTGAGGAAGGTACCCTCTAGAAGTGGCTGGCGCAGCAAAACAGTTTCCACGTCTGTAAAGTGGGCTGACATTCATACGCACCCGACAGGCTTGATGTGCAGACTGAACGAGTAAGGATGAAGTGCATGCGAGGCAGCTTGCTGAAACCAGGCCTCAAGCTCAGCAGGGGCCCAGCCAGCGGGGCGGCAGCGGCAGGTGGAGCAGGGTGGCCTGGGGACAGTCAGACCCACTCAGGACTTCTCTGAACCTCTGCCTCCCTCTTCCACACCAGGGAAGGGAGAGCGCTCATTCCCACCCCCACACTCTCCCAGTTCCTGTATGCTGTGTGTGGGGGAGTGACTTTCCATCCACGGATGATATTCTAGGTTTCAATTGTCTTTGCCAAATTAACACGATTTTACATTTCAGAATCACCATAGGACACCTAGAATTACTGCTCTTCCTGTCATTGCTTACCCCGATCTTATTACAAGGTCTGCATGCTAGAGCGTGCAAGGCGCATGTAACATCTGCATTCGAGAGCCTGCAAGGCGCATGTAACGTCTACATGCTAGAGTGTGCAAGGCACGTGTAACATCTGCATGCTACAGCCTGCAAGGCACATGTTGCACATATTTTCATTTGTGTTCTTGATAACATGGCGAGGAAAGCCTGGCCTGAGCTCCATTTCTGAAAGGAGGGCACAGAGACACAAGGAGGGGGCTCAGGGCAGCTAACTGAAGTCAGAGCCAGATAGGAGCTGGGCAGTAGAGGTCTCGGCCTCTTGCATGCCCAGCCTCCATCCCCCTCTGGGGTGGCACCCAGCACTTCCTGGGGGAGCCTTCTCTTCCCGGCTCCGTCCCCGTGGTGGTGTATAATGTTGCCATGCCCCCAGGCCCCACCTGTGCATGAGCACGCAGCCCTGCCTGGCCCATCAGCAGAGCCTCTCCTCTGGACTCAGTGATTGGTTTGGAGGTGATCATGGGACTCCATTTGGGGACTTTCCCTGGAAGTGTCAGGGGAGAGGAAACCTCTTCGCCTTGTGCTGGCTATATCCTTGGGTATAAGCCAGGTGTGGCCCAGCCTGCCAGAGAATGGCGGCCTCTCAAAGGGAAGATGAAAGAAGAGACAGAAGGCAGCGACGATAATGTTGGGGTGCCCGGGACTTCCCTCTTTTGCTTGAGCCAGTTGAGATGGGTTTCTGTCCCTTGAAACCAAAAGATCCTTGAAAAGCACTTCAAATGCCACACTGCCCTCTCCACAGGTCCCAGGATGAGGAGGTCAGGCCTGCAGGAGGAGGTCAAAGCCCCAGGAAGGGAAGGATTTGGATGTAGGAAGAGGAGGGCACAGCAGAGGGCACCTCTGCCCTGGCCATGCCTGCCCTGCACTTCCTGGCATTCAGCCCTTGCCCTCTGATCCCTGGAGAAGCCTCAGAGCGGGTCACACCCGAGACAACAGCCTGACACCCGACCTCACCGAGGCCGCTGGACCACACTGTCCAGCTGTGCAGGAGGGTAGCGTGCAGTCCCATCTTGGCTAATGACAAACATCTGTCCTCGCGCAGGAGGCATTTGCGTGTCATCTCAGGAACACAGGGCCTGTTTCCCTGCCAGGCCCGTCGACCATCACAAGCCCATTATGGGTGAGTGAAGTCGTGTGAGTCAGCCTCCCAGGGGCATGGGGCTGAAATGAGCTGCGCCATGCTGGGGAGGGGGTGGCTGGGCCAGCGGGGCTGAGTCAGCGTCGTTAGACCTTGACTGTGTGTCAAGCAACTTCTGTGGGCGTGGAGCACGGAGGGGAGAGGGGAAGAGGAGAAGAAGGGAAGGGAGGAAGCGGGGAGCAGCCCCTGCAGACAGGGAGAGGAGAGCTGAGCAGGGAAGGAAGGAGGCCGGGCCATGTGCTTCACCATGGAAACCTCGGCCTGCAACCTGGGTCAGGACCCTATGCTCTGCCAGAAAGCATGTCTCAGTACAGCCTGGCCCTGAGGTCTGTGGGGCTGGAACCCCACACCAGTCGCCTCCTTTCTGGGGATGCGGGTGGAGGAAGCAGACGGCTGGTGAGCATCAGGAAACAGTGTTGGAGGGGCTTTTTCTAGAATGTCCCATCAGCACGGAGTGTCTGACGGCCCCCACAAATGCATGGAGCAGAGGGTTAGTGGATTGGGGCAGGGAGCACATGGACCTCCAAGGAGCTGGGCTCTCGAGGAGGCAGGGATGATGCAAAGCTGAGATGTAAGACTTGGTCTTCATTTACCTACGTCAAGGTCAAGGATCCCAGGCAGGTGACCGAGAAACATCTCACGATCAGCCCACGTGGTGGGAGCAAGGGTCGGAGCCACGGGATATCAGGACTTGGTCATGGCGTAAGGACAGGACTGGCCCAGAAGCCTGACCTCGCTCTAGGGCTCCAGATCAGGGCTGGCCCCACTCCTCTTGGCCGGCGCTGCAGCTGGCCCAGCCTCTGGCTCCATGCCGTCACCTACTCGCCTGTGACCTTGCCCTGCTGGCTCCCATTGCAGCAGCGAGGGTGGCCTGAGTGCTGCAAGCCCCTCTCTGGCACTGCTGGATGCCTCCCTCCCTCCCTCTCTGTTCTCTGCCCATCTGACTCACGGTCACCGGTCACCGCTGCTGTGAGAGTCAGTCTCTAAGCTCAGAAGCCAATTAGGAGAAATCTGTCGCCAGCCCCAGCTCTGAGGAGGCTGCTTCCTCCCCTCCAGCCAGGATGATTCAAAGCAGCGAGTCCCCAGCAGCTGTGGCAGCACCCGCGCCCGCAGAGCTCACGGAGGAGAAGCCGTCCTGGAGGATGGGACCAGCTTCCCTGGGCTTGCAGGCCCTTCAGGCGGCCGCAGAATGAGCCCAGTGCTAAATGATGAGGGGCCGAGCAGGCCTAGGGCTCTGTGGCTTTCTTTCTAGTCCTTACCAGCTCTCGGGAGGGCCACTGGCTGTTGGCAAAGCCAGGACACTCACAGATCAGAGGGGGTAGCCGCAGGAAGCTCTTGGATGGTTCCAAGCCCTGGGCACTTGCAGGGGAGGAGGGCAGCCCTGTGGCTGCTGATCGGCGTCCGTCTCTCCCCTGCCCTCCCCCTTAGCTGAGCCCCTGCCCCCAGGCCAAAGCCACTCACGCAGAGGAGCTAAAAAATCGTGGTGTTCGATGATTCCAGCACATCAGCAGCCATTGTGGGAGCTGGGGGGACAACCGTGTTCCCTGCTGGGCAGGGTGACAGGAGGGACCAGGAGGGGCCATCTGAACCTAACACCGCCTGGTGCTGCTCTCGGGGGCTTCTGCTTAGAAAGCTTGGCTCAGCCTGCCGGGCCCAGCTCCAGGTCACCACCCCCTGGAAGCCCTCACATCCACCCAGCAGGCAGACTTCTTTCTCTGAGCTCCCATCCTGTCTGTCTGGACATTGGCATCCATCACTCCGCCTCCTGCTACAGACTCTTCCCCTGTGGGGTCCACCTCAGACGCAGCCCTGAGTGCGAGGGGCACGAGGATGAGCCCCGTTATTTACAGCTGAGGAAAGGGAGGCCGAGAGAGTGATTTTCCAAGGCCTTAGGGTCAATAGGGTGACAGGATGCAGGCCCAGGCCCCACACCCTGAAGCCTCCCCATAATACGTGCCCCCCACCTCGTAGTTATGCTGGTACCTCGTGGCTAGACCCGTTCCCCTTCCAGAGGGTCTGCCTTGATTTCCCCACCTGCAGCCCTGTTTCCAACCTTAGCAGACCACAGACCCTCTCTAGGTCCTGTCCATGCTCTTCCCCCAAATAGGGCCCCATATTTAGTAACTAAAAGATATTGAGCACCAGCTAAACGTAGGTACATTTCAATTCATCCAAACTTGAATTCCATATAAACAACATGTTTTTAGGACATGTATGTCTGGTGCAATAATTGGGACATACTTATGCTAAAAAAATTAGTGTTCACTATTTAGCTGAGATTAAAATTTAGCTGGGCCTCCTGTTTTCATGTGGAAACCCTACCCCGAAGGCCTCTTTCCTCACCATCTGTGGAATCCTGGAACGGATGGCTCAGTGACTCAGATCGAACCCAGGCAGGCTGGCCCCCAGCCATGTCCATCAGCAGCGCTGTCAGGTCCGGGGCTCTGCGCTGGTGCTCAGCATGCCAGGAGGGCAGGCACAGCCCTGGAGTCCTCCCAGCTCTCCTCTACCAATGTCCTGACACATCTGGGACCTGTGGCAGGGCCTGAATGCCTTAGACTGGGTCAACCGGGGCATACAGGATGGACGGTGCTGCAGCCGCGTTTACCTCAACACCAATCACAGCCACACCTGCCACCCGCAGCAACTGAGTCGGCAGCGGCAGCAGCAGCAGCAGCACCCGGCCCGGCCCACACCCTGCACCAGGCTCTGCTCACAGCACTTAACTCAGTCCTCGAAGGATGCTGGGAAGGAGCTGCTGCGTGCCCCATTTTACGCAGGAGGAAACGGAGGCCTGAGGAGGCCAAGTAACTTGTGTGAGGCTGACTGTTAGTAGCAGAGGCAGGAGGCAGACTTAGCCCCAGATTTATGCTGTTCACTGCCCTCCTCTCTCCTCATGTGCCAGCACGGGCAGGTCTCCACCCTCTGCCCTCTCCCCGTGGACACAGGCCTTCCCTCTCTGCCACACTCACCCCCAGGTTGTGCCACACTCACCCCTCTGGGTTTAGCCTCATCTTTTAAGCCCCCTTGCCCATCCCTTCTGTACCCCTGGGCCTGGGCTGCAGTCTCCTGCTTGGGTGGGCTTCATGCAAGAAGGCTCAGAGCCCTAGGAGTCCAGGCCACATGGATACTTAGAAAGCATTTTCACGATGTTGACAGCGGTGACGACGGTGCTTAGAATTTCTGGCTTAACCTACAGGAAGCCCCACGCTTACTGATGAAACTTTAGAAGCATTTCCATTAGTGAGGAGTAAAAGGAGAATGTTCGCAACTGCCCATATCATCTTCAATTTAATGCCCAAGTGTGAGTCGCACTTGAGTAGTTGACTGTGCACATGGAAGAAAAGAAAAATCCAGGTGTGATCCAAATGTGATAAAACACGTTTAACCAATTAAAGCACAGAAAACTTTTCTATGATCTCAGGGTAAAAAAAGGGTTTTAAAATTAAAGACATAAAGAGAAAAATGATCAGTTTGAATTATCAAAATTTGTAACTTCTGTATGAAAAAGGCCCATAAACATAATTAAAAGATAAGTGACTTTGTGAGGCAGATTTTTGCAACATGCAGCAAATAATGGATTGATAGCCATAATATATAAAGAGTATCTACAAACCAATAAGGTGACAACCCAAAGAAAAAACATGCAAAGCATCTGAACAGGCAACTCCCCAAAGAGGAAATCTACATCATGAATAGGTAGGAGAACATGTTCACTAACATGTGATGCTTATGTCAATATTCCCTAGAATATCATTCCACATCCATCAGAATGGTAAGCATCTAGAAGATTGACAATTCCAAGCATAAAAAGTTGCACACACTGTTGATGTGAGCAATTTAGAACATGATCCTTTGGGAGACCATCTAGGGAAATCGAGTTGAGAACAGGTGAGTCTAGACCCTGCACATTCCCTCTCACGCATGTGCCCTATAGAAGTCAGGGATGCAAGGTGGCATGGCATCAGAGCCAAGGCCCCAAACCCCAGGACGGGCCTCCCAGGGTGTCTCCCAGCTGATCACCCTAGGCAGGCCATGTGCTTTCTCTGTGCCTCAGTTTCCTTAATTGGAAAATGGGCACTTCCCCCTCAAATGTCATTAGGTGAGTTCCGTGAGAGGATGTATATAAAATTACTAGAACAGCCGGTGACAAGCAATGAGCCTAATAGATGACGGCTATTTTCACCATGACTTTATTTGTAATAGAAAACACTGGAAACAAGCCAAATGCCCATCAGAATGGAAATGAATACATACATTTAAATATTTTCACATGATGGAATACACTACAGAACTTAAAAACATATAAAATAGACTTAGATTGTCACCATGGATGGATCTTAAAAATAAAATGTTGAGTAAAAAGAGAAATTGTAATACATTACTTATACCATAATCCCATTTATGTAAATTCTTAAACACACAGTACAATAGAACATATTGTTTATGGAGGTCCTATGCAGAAGAGGTCTAAAACGTGGACTAATTACTCCCTCATTCATGACGGTGGGCTGCCTCCCGGAAGGGATTTTTCACTTGGGGAGGCAGGAACATGAGGGTTTGTCATAAAACCCTTTCCGGCTTTCTGGAGCTTATTGTTGTCAGTATTTTTCTTGTTAAGCTAAGCCCCTCAGAGGCATCCCATCACACTTAGAAGCACCCCTGTTCCCATGGTCCATGAGCCCCCTGCACACCCACAGCCCCGGTCCCTGCTAGCTTGGCTGAGTCAGCTCCTTGGCTACCACTGTCCCCCTTGCTGGTTTCAGCCCCACTGGCCCATCCATGCCTCACACCCCACACCATCTGTCCCCTTCACCTGAGGTCCCTTCTCCTGCTGTTTCCCATTCCTGGAAGGCTCCTTCTTGAAACCTTCCCACTCTCCGGGTCTCAGCTCAATGGCATGCCTGGAGAGGCTGTGCCGACCACCCTGCCTGCACGGGCACCCACCCCACCCTTCACTCTGGGTTTTGTGCAGTTTCGTGAAGTACTCGTCACCCTCTGAATCATCTTGTTGAGAGACCTCACTTGTATCTTCTCTGTCAAAGTCTACCCCAGGGGACTGTGAGCCCCACCAGAGCTGGGGACCTTGTTTGGCTCACAGTGTAACCAGCACCTATTCTAGTGCCAGCCACAGAGTCAGAGATGGAGTGCTCAGAGAGGGTCCTGATGGATGGATAGATGGGAAGATGGACCTATGGATGGACAGATGGAGTGATAGATGGCTGGACAGATGAGTGGATGGATGAGTGGGTGGATGGATGGGTGAATGGATGGATGGGTGGGTGAGTGAACAGGTGGATGGATGGGTGGATGGATAGATGGGTGGATGGATGAATGGTTGGATGGGTGGATGGATGGGTGGGTGAACAGGTGGAAGGATGGATGGGTGGATGAATGGGTGGTTGAACAGGTGGATGGATGGGTGGATGAGTGGATAGATGAACAGGTGGGTGGGTGGGTGGATGGATGGATGGATGGATAGATGGATGGATGGATGGATGGATGGATGGGGTGGATAGGTGGATGGATGAGTGGGTGGGTGGATGGATGGATGGGTGGATAGGTGAACAGGTGGATGGATGGATAGATGGATGGATGGGTGGAAATATGGGTGGGTGAACAGGTGGTTGGATGAATGGATGGGTGGATAGGTGGATGGCTGGATGGGTGGGTGAACAGTTAGATGGATGGATGGATGAACAGGTGGATGGGTGGATAGGTGAACAGGTGGATGGATGGATGGATGGGTAGATGGAAAGTATGGAATACAGGAAAGGTGGTAATAATAACAGCATAGCTACGGCTGGCTTTTGTGGTGACAGTGACAGTCCAGGGGCCATTTGGTGACTGAAAATGGTGATAGCAGTGACGACAAAGGTGACAATGACAGCACAAAAGCTTGTCCAGCACTTCTTTCCAGTCCAATTCCCTGTGCTTACAACAACTGACGGTGCCCTCCCTCTGCCATGTGACAGGACAGGGCTGTTTCCTTGACAATTCATTCTCTGCAATGACAGCTGCCCCTGGCGCTTCCCATACAAGTGAGGGTTTCCTCCTGCGTCCTGCCGCAGCCACTGGAATCCAATGCACAGCTGTCCCTTTCCCCAGGCCTCCTGCTTCTGCCGGCTGCCCACGGCTCTTTGGGGTCTCCCAGACTCAATCCAGCCTTCTGGGCTGAGGACTGCCCTCTGGAGCAACAGCGGCTGCGGTGGGGCCAAGCGCCACCCCTTGCGGCCCCACATTGGCACTGGCAACACTGGATGGAACGCCATCGTTACCCGCTCCTCCCTGTGGGTTAAGGCATTACCACCTTCAAGTCACCTTTCATCAAGGCAGGTTCGCCAGATGGGCGATGCAGTAGGAAGGAAGGAAGGAACCGTTGTCTGCGTTGAGCCGAGACTGTGACGGAGCTGGGACCAACAGAGCATGGGCAGGTCTCATTTGCCCCCCACTGGCTCTATTGGGCAGCCACCGTCCACCTGCTCCACCCACTGCATAAGGGGTGGCATCTGTCGCAGGCCATAGACTGCTGGGCCCCACTCAGCCAGCAACTTCCTGCCTTTCCCCTGCCTGGCAGGAATCTCCCTCCTGGGAGAGCCCTTCCCAGAGCTCTCTGCACCATCTCTTTTGATGCTGCTATCGCCATGAGCAACTGCACAACCACATCCTCGCTCACCTGCTTTACCACTGTCCCCGCTGGACTTCCACCCTGCCAGGGCAGGAGCCATGCCGGCTTCCTCACCATGCCGTGCCAGGCTCAGCTCATGGCCGGTACACAGCAGCGCTCCCCTAATGTTTGCTCATGTGTGAATATGTGGATACAGGTCACAGAAATGGAGCTGGGGTTGGAACCCAAGCCCCTCAGACTGGAAACTCTGGGCCATCCCTGGGCACATTTTCAGCTGGGTGGCCTGCGTGGTTAGCATCAGGGTGAGCGGCCTGGGTCTGAGAGCAGGGGAGTGAGACCCTGCCGAGCCTCTCTCGGGTGCTCCTTGCTCATTCACCCAGCCTCTGTCCCGCCTCAGCCTGCAGGCTGCTTCCTGCTTTGTATCCAGCAGGATAAAGTGTGTAGATGTGCTTTGTGCTTTCATAACGTTGTCCGTGCATAGAGAATCCACTCTGCCTCCCACAGTCTAAGAATTGTCCTTTAACTAGTCACAGGCTGGAAGATCACGCTAACATCAGCTCAAAATCCCTGCGTCATCAGCCCTGCCTCAGTTTCCCATGCAAATGCTCACGCTATTAAAAGCCAGGGGCATCCGCCCCAAACCTCGGAGGACTGGGCCACGTGTGAGCAACCACGACTCCTGGAGCCTGGCAAGGGACATGCTGGGCTGCCCTGGGGATGTGGCTATTCTGACGGTGAGTCAAACCAAAGGACAACAACATGGTGCCCTGCAGTCCCAGCAAAACCAAGCAAGCCAGCATTCCCCAGGCTTCCTCCTGGGTTCCACGTGGGCGCCCTGGGAAAGGGGACTCTCCCAACAGGAGGCCACCCAGGCCCAGCCTCTGCACTTGCTTGCATGAAAAGAGGGCATAGGCAGTCCCAAAAGGAAACCCAGACACGAATTCTACAAAGGGACCCGGTGAGAACCTGCGTGGCTTTGGCCCCCACACACATCGGGGTGCAACCCCGTACTTCACCTGCCTCTCTGGGGGTGAGGCTGAGCCCCTGCACATTAGCATGGCCCCGTGACACCACCCCTGGGGCTTTGGTGGCACCATCCTCCTGGCTGTGGTGACAATGTGGGCTGGCTGCCTCCAGCAGTATGAGAATTGTCCTTTAACTGTTCTCCGGCTGGAAGATCACACCCAGTATCAGATCCAGATCCCTCAGCCACCCCGCCACGCCCCCCAACCAGGAGTGGTGTCTCCCACTCCTAAGGAACAGGGTCCCTGTGTGCAGTTCACACTTCCCTGTGGGGGTGTTGCTCTCATAATGGCTCCAGGACCCACGTTCCATGTGCCCTCCTCTTAGGACCATCCTGCACAGTCCACCCAGGGGATCCCAGTTTGGCCATCTCTCTGGCTCCCAGCCCTGCAGAGCCTTTCCCTTTACAGCCCTAACTCTCATCCCTTGCTCCTGAGTCTGGAAACAAGCCCTTTAGCAATGACTGCTGGTCTCCCTAGGCCTGGGGTGGCCATCCTTGTGGGTCACCTCTGAACGCGAGGGTCTATGTGTGTCTCAGTCCTCCGGTCCATGCCCTGGACACTGGACATTGCAGAGAGCACCCTCAACTACCATTCCTGGTGCATGTGGCTGACCCTCAGCATCAGATCCAGCTTCTGCCGGTACCACTGAGGGATCTCTTGGACACCCCTCTTCCCACCCCCCACCACCTCCTTTTGCTCAGAGACACTGACATTCTCCCAGTGGATCCTGACTGAGAGGCTCCACATTGCGCCTGAGCTAATGGCCCGATTAAGCTCAACTTAGCAGTAAACAAAGAGGCACTGAGATAACGGCAGAGACTGGAAGGGTCATTACCAGAGGGGGCCGGAGAGGCTGAATACCAATTAATAGATAAGGATTTCCATCCTCCTACCTCCTACTCCCCGAGCTTCCATTTGTCACTGATGCAATCAGAGCAGCCGCCCTCTCAGGAAATGAAAACTCCCTCTGGTGAAGAGCTGGGATGGAAAAGAGCCCAGGAGCAAACAGAAGTCCAGGGAGCACTTGGCATCAGACACACAAGTGTGTCATCGACACAGTCACCTCCACAAGAACGTTATCATCGTTATATAGTAATCACCACCATGCCTACTGTTACCACCACCACCACCATACTACCACCACCATCCTATTACCACAATACCACCACCATCATCACCCTCACCACCACCATCATCACCACCACCACTGTCCTACCATCACCATCCTACCACCACTATCACCACCACCATCATCACCATCACCACCATCATCATCACCACCACTACCATCCTATCATCACTCATCATCACCATTACTACCACCACCATTGCCACCATCACATTACCACCATCACCACCATCGTTATCATCGCTACCACCACCACTATCACCATCATCAAATCAATATCACCAGGAACACTTTTATTGGGTCACTAACTTCAACATAACCACAGTTATTATCAGAAAGATCAGTTCCACCATTATGTTCCCAGGACTTGACACATCTTGGCATAGACCATATTCTCAACAAATAGTTGAAGGACTGAGCTATCATCACCACCACTACCATCCTATCATCACTCATCATCACCATTACTACCACCACCATTGCCACCATCACATTACCACCATCACCACCATCGTTATCATCGCTACCACCACCACTATCACCATCATCAAATCAATATCACCAGGAACACTTTTATTGGGTCACTAACTTCAACATAACCACAGTTATTATCAGAAAGATCAGTTCCACCATTATGTTCCCAGGACTTGACACATCTTGGCATAGACCATATTCTCAACAAATAGTTGAAGGACTGAGCTATCATCACCTCTATCACCACCTTTCAAATCACCAGTTGTCATTTCACTCTGGGCTGGGCCTCTCACCTCTCCTGCAGGAATGTCCTCTCATCCAGGCACTGGTTGCATTGGTGCCACACACTCTTCACTCTTTACTCTTGGGAGATTGTCAGCCCTCAATCCTCAGGGGTCCTCCACTCTGCTGAAATAACCTAGGAGACATAGAGATGTCAGGATCATCCTTTGCATTGATGAGAGACTCTGTGGGCTTCTGGTGGTGGCCTGGACACACCCACCCTTTGCCCCTGGTTGGCAGCCTTTCTTGCTGGTCTGTGCACCTACGCACCTGTAGTGCAACTCAGCAGCAGGGCGTGGGCCACTGCACCTCTGGTGTTCTGCCGCACACCCTCCTGCCACAAATCTTCACCCCTTCCCGTCTCAGCCGCCCGTGGTTCAGTCCACCAACAAAGCGCCGGCCATTGTTGCTGAGCCTGCCTACCCCACACCAATCCCAGTGCTCCCTTCTGCTGAGGCCTCTGTGGTTTGCCCCCAAATGGATGTCTTAGATTGGGCTCCCTAGAAGGCTTCTGAGACAGATTTGTGTGCAGGGGCTTTATAGCAGAGTGCACTCTGGAGCAATGACTGTGAGCCAGGGAGAGACAGGACCAGGCTGAGGGAGAAGTCAAGTTCTGGTACATTTGCCAGAGGCCTCGGCCCATCCCATGGGGAGCTTTGGGGCTGCAACAGCCATGCAGACTCATCCCAAATTGAGACCAGGGCCTTTGGCCAGAAAGAGTCATTGGATGTAGCTTGGCCCCTGGCAATGCTTGGAGATGGGCAGCTGTGAGCAGTCACCTGCGGCACTCCCTGCAGCGGTGGTGAGTGGCTCAGTCCTGCAGGGCAGTGGACAGCATGCCAAGTGTCTTCTACAGACGCTGCATTTCCTCTGCTTTACACCCCTGGAGGAGAGGATGGGCTGCCACCTCCATCTGGGGCTTATGGCCTCTACATGGCCTGCTGGCAGCAGGCACAGGAAAGAGAGGCTCCGGGGAGTTGAGGACAGGAGGCCAGGCCACAGGGAGCACTGTCTGGTCTCTGCTGCTCAAGTCGTGATGACTTTGACCTTGGAGGTGAGAATCCACCCCACCCCTCCATCCCCCATCTTCTCCCCCTGGAAGCCTCTGCCCCACTGCACAGGCCTGCCAGCTATGGAAGGAGCCATTCTTCTGCAGCTTGGGGCCCCCAAAGTGCTCTGCCCACTGCCTGCATCACCCCTCTTCACCCTCCACTCCCTCCCTACAGGTCACCTTCAGGGAAGCCTTCACTGACACTTCTCTGCAAAATGTTCTACTCATGTATGTTAACTTCGGAGTCAATATGTGTTTGTAGAATGACTAAATAAGTGTAGCATCTTTTTCTATAAAATCGTATATATTCGCTATTACTTTGGATAAACAAGAGGGGGAGTGTCTCCTTATGTCTGGAGGTTGGGATGGAACAGGGCAGACATCAGCAAGGGTTTCGGATGCCAAAAGTGGCCCAGGGACTGAGACAGCACTAAAGCCAAGGAGCTGAGCACTTGACCCCTGGGAAGTGTGTCTTCCTTGCCTAACCTCTCCTCCCACAAGCCTCAGCCCAGCCACAGTGAGGAGGAATCCCAGGAAAAGTCACTTCCAGCTCACTCTACCCTGCCAGCCTTGAGAAGAAGACACCACAGCCAATAGAATCCAAGCCACCTTCTTTCCTGTGTCACCAGCCCATACCAGCATGTGATGAGACTCTGACCCTAGCACCCTCATTCTGTACAGATGGAGAACAGGGGGGCATGACAGATAGGTCACCACCCAGTTCTGAAGGGCCCTTGCCCACTTCTCTCGACATAATGGATGTCCTCAGAAATGCAAAAGTTATTATCATTTTTATGTGACATCTACCAACTGTGCAGTCACCCCTTGGAGCCTAATCTGAACTGACAGCTTCTCTGGAAAGAATGCCCAAGCTATCCATCTACAATTCTCCATGAAATATGTGTCATTAAGATAGCAGCTGGGAAGGCAGGGAGTCAATTGTCCCCCTGTGGCAAGCAGACCCAGTGCCAAGCCATGGACCAGGTGCCCAGGTTGTGCTCCCAGCTCTGCACCCACTTGCTGTGTGACTGTGGAGGAGCCACGGAGACTTGTTCTGTTTCTGTTTCCTCATCCTTAAAAAGAGAATAATGCTTGATGCTTCCACCAGTACACAGGGCACAGGGAGGGTCCAGCTACCCAGGAGACACCGTGGACACTGGGGACATCTTCCTTGCACCAGATGCAGTCCAGTTCAGGCAAACATGCTGACCGCAGTCACACTGACCACAGCACACCAATAGCCTCACCGACACCAGCACCAGCAGCAGCACTGATGACATCAACTACAGTGATACCGACAGCAACACACGGACAACAGCCCTGAGAACACCACACCAACACAACACCAACACGACACCAACACCAACACCAACACCACCAACACCAACGAACACCACACCAACACCAACAACACCAGCACCAACAACACCAACACCACCAACACCAACACCACACCAACACCAACAACACCACACCAACACCAACACCACCAACACCAACACCAACAACACCACACCAACACCACCACACCAACAACACCACCAACACCAACACCACCAACACCACATCAGAACACCAACACTAACACCAACAACACCACACCACCACCACCACCACCAACCCCAACCCCAACAACACCAATGCCAACACCAGCAATGCCAGCCCCAACCACAGCACATGGACTAGAACACAACTAACCATGGCATGGCAACACACAACAACACTGATAACAGCATTGACACCAGCACTGGCAGCAACACACAACAACACTGACAACAACACACCAGCAACACCCACACAGGTGCTAATAGCACACTAACTACAACACACCAGCAACTCACACAGACACTAACAACAAGGCACCAACCACAACACACCAGCAGCAACACTCACACACACATTAACAGCAATGCACCAACCACAGCACACCAGCAACACTGACATCACCACTAATAACAGCAACATGGACACCAGCATGCCAACCACACTGACATCCACACTAACAGTGACACATCAACCACAGCACGTTAACACCAACCCAAGTACCACCAACAACATGGGCAACAGCCACCATGATAACACCACCAATATCAACATAGGCAGCAACGCTCATGGCAATGCTGACAGCAACAACAGCAGCAGCAATTCTGGGGCCAGCAACCCTCCCAGCATCATCACCAACAGCCCTGACAATGGCAACCCTGACAACAGTGACATCAACTCTGACAAGAGCACAGCACTGGCAGCAGCAATCCTGACGGCTGCTCTAACAACCCACACCAGCCCTGACAAGGACACTCATGACAACCGCACCCACCCACCAACCACTATTATTTATTTAACAGGTGTTCCTTCATGGCAAGCACTATGCTGTGTGTTGTAAGCATACGTCTAAGTTCATTTTCTGTTGCAATAACAGAATCCCTGAGACTGGGTAATTTTTTTAAAAATGAACTTTTTTTGGCTCGGGTTCTGGATGCCGGGAAGTCCAAGGGCAGGGCAGCAGCTTCTAGACAGGCTTTCACACTGTCTTCAAACACAGCAGGAAAGTGGGAGGGGAAGCAAGTGCGCGTGACAGAGACCACAAGAGTCAGCCCAGCTTGCTCGCAGAACAACCTGCTCTCGTGAGAACTCACCCCGAGATAAAGGCTCTAATCCACTCACAAGGCCTCTGCCCTCATGCCCAGGTCAACTCATAAAGGCCCACCTCTCTATACTGTTATTTTGGCAATTAAGCTTCCAGCACATGGAGGTTTGAGGACATGTTTGGACTGTGGTCGGGCTTAGCCACTTTGCCCTCAGGACAGTCCTGGATGGTGGGTCCATTATTGTCCCCGCTTTACAACAAGGAGCCTGGGGCACGATCAAGTGAGATGACCAAGGTCACAGGAGCCCAGTCCCCCGAGCCCATGCCAGGCCTGCTCTCCACCTGGGGAATGCACCCCTCCTAGGCCTCTGCTCCTTACATGTGGGAGGAGAGGGGATGAAGGCTCTACCTGAGGGGTCACTGCAGTGCAGTGGGCAGGGGCATCTCGGCCATGCATGGAGGAGGGTTGGCACCCACAGTGCAGGAGGCAGGGAGCATCTCACATCGACCAGGCTGGGTGCAGGCCCAGCGACAGGCACTGCCTTGGTGCCGCATCCAGCCTCCTCCTCCTGGTTCCACTTCTCCACCATCGTCACCACCACCACAGCCTCCACCTTCTCAGGCAGCCAAATGAACCAGTTTCAATGTGGGTTTCACATCTCTCAATGAAAATCCGTTCTTCCTTCAGTGAAAGTGCCTAAAATGCCACCACTAAGTAAAATCTGAATCATAAGTCAGCATTATAAAATATTAGATCAGATTTTATATTCATCCAGGGCAAGTTTCATTCTTCCCAGGTCTCCCGCAGAAATGGACATTCCATGGTCAGCTCTGGCCTCTCCAGATATCAGCTCACGGACCCTGGGGCCTCCCAATCCCCCAAGGGCTCAGCCACCTGCTGAGAGCCAGAGGGGTGCTGCCAGGGGAGAAGACACACACAAGCACTTCTAACTTCAGTTCTTCCCATCACCGTGCTTTTCACCACGTCACTGTCACATGGCACTGAAGAAACGCCCCAGAAAAGGGACCCCAAAGACCCAGGCAATATCCATCACTCATTATTTGTACAACTTCAGAAACACAATGTCTTCCTTTTGGCCTCATTTTCTTATTCATTTACTCATTCATCAAATACTGTGTGGAGCTCTGTGCACTTTTCTGGGCAAAGAGCTGCCAGGAAACGAGACAGACGTGGTTCCCGCCTCATGGAGCACATCTGTCTGCAGGGTTTAGGCGGCTTTTGCTGCAGACAATGAATCTCATGCCTCACTGGTTCCTAATGGCCGGCATTTGCTTCTAAGCACAGGAGTCTGCGGGTCTCACCTGGGCCCAGCCAGGCACGCCCAGGCCTCCGGGGCCTGGTTCTGGGCTCAGGCTGATGAGGCAGTAGCCAGCAGGGCTTGCTGGCCTTGCAGTGGAGGGCAGAGCAGCAGAGGGGTGAGAGGAAATGAACAGTGTCCCCAAAGTGGCCCTGACCCACTTCCACCACGTCCTATTGGCCGAGCCATGTTTCACATCCAAGCCCAGCACCCGTGGGCAGGGCCGTGCCCTCCACTCGCAGTGGGGGCTCTGTCAACTCACTCGGTAGAGGGCATAGATGTAAAATTTCAGCCCAGGGAGGGGGCAGAGAGCCCTCTTCCCATCTACTCCAGTGGAAGCAAAACAAAAGTGTGTAGAAAGGCCAGGTTGTGAGAGACGCTAAGATAGGGAAGCAGGAGCTGAGGAGGAGTGAGGGGTCCATGTGGGTCCAAGGGGCCCGAGGGGTCCGAATACCCCGCCCCAGCTCCCTTCCAGGGACTCACTGTTCCCCAAACCTGTGCCACGCAGCATCGTCTACTGCCTCTGAGCTGCAGACGTCACTGGGAGGGCCCCTTTAAATTTTCATCCACTCAGACCAAGAGGACGGGAAACACACACCACAGTGATCAGGGCCCGCTCCGTGCCTGGCTCGGGGCCAACGGCACTTTCGGTGTCGTTTCGTTACAGCCGCACAACCTCGGTGCCACCCCTTTCCACTCAGCTGATTGGAAAGCTGAGTTGAGGAGAGGACGACAGCTGCTCACAGACATCGAGAGGAGCAGAGCGGTCCCCGGCCTTCAGACACACAAGCCAGGCTGTGCCCTCGTGGGGCCAGGGCAGTCAAGGCTGTGATTCTGGGGTTCACCCCCCAGATGAGAGAGCCGCCACTCCCCCAGAGGGAAGCTGAGGCTCGGTGGGGAAGGGACCAGCTCTGATCCAACAGGGTCACCAGGATCCCAGCCCGGGTCCAGGAAGGGCAGACAGGACTGGGTCTGCAGAATTCAGAACCCCCCCTTCCCATTAATTCACGCTCCTCCGAGGATCCCTACCAGGCCAACTTCCAGCCATGCTGGCCGTGCTGAACTCTCCCACCTGAGCTGGAAGAAGGCTCAAGCGGTTGCCACGACCCTTCGTCTTTGAGAGGGGTCTAAACAAACACACAGCCGCCTGCCTTTCTTCAAAATGAAATTGAGTTTTATATGTCAGCATTTGGCCAGGAAGGAAAAAATAAATGCCACTGAAGGCCAAGCTGTCTTGCCCACGTTGTGATCATTTACCAGAGCTTAAATGCAGCAGTTAGCACGGAGTGAAATAAGAGAGCCCCGGGAGGAGATAAGACCCAGCATCTCACAATGGCTTCCAAGAGCAACTGGATGTCACAGTTGCCAAGGAGTTTGGGACACTCTGGACAGGAGAATTGTTGTTTTCCTTGGCAGAAAAATGAGCCTTCCACACACAGCTAAATACCACTAGCTTTGCTTCACCGCTGTGTGGCTGCTTTGCAGCAAATCCCCCTGGCAGGCTGGTTCCCTCTCTCTGAGCCATTTCCCTCCACCCCTGGCCTCTCAGCAAGGGCCTCAGGCTGCACGGAACACTCCTTCCCCAGGGAAGTGTGGGCCACCAAGCCAGCCTGCCTGCCCTGCATGCGGGGCCGGGATCTGGCTGCCTCTGTTCCTTCCTGATCTTCATCCTCTGCTTCCCGATGGGGTCTCCTCTTGGGCACATGCAGGCATTTGCCTGGGTCCTCACCCTGAAGTCCTCCCCTGGTCGCCTGGGGACAATTGTCTTGCCTGCCGCTAAAGATGACACAGAAGAAATCCACTGGACAGAAAGATGGTGTTTGTGTGTGGATTTTGGCTTTGAAGTCCAGTCATCATCTGACTGGCCCCCCGTGCAGAGGCCCAAGGAACTTCTCCATCTGGATTATGCTAAAAAGTGTCCAAGGTCCAAATCGTGCTTGGGGCCACCAGAGTACCCTTACCAATCCCAACCTCACCTTGGTCCTCATCCCTCCGTGGGGTGCAGACAACCAAATCCCGCTTCCTTCCACGTATTCCTGGCTCCACTGGCTGCAGCTGCTGCAAACTCCCATAGGCTCTCATAGGCCTCCAGCCAGGTCCCAGCTCACACTCCTGCCCCTTCCCCATCTGTTCACACGGAGCCAAATTCTGCCTTCAAATGTAACTCTAGCTTCACCCCTCCCCTCCCCAGGCTGACTTCTCTGCATGGGCTGCTGGGCCCTGCACAGTCCCATCCCTGTGCCAATGGCAGTCACGCCTGCCAACAGCCATATGATGCCTTCAGCTCCCCAGAGGATCCACGCCCAGTGCTCCCTGGCCATGCAGCCTTGCCCACAGTGCCACCCAGGCTGGCTGGAGAGGAGGACGGAGGTTGGAGCTTGACTTCACATCTGCCATGGCCATCCTGCTGGGGCTGCAGCCAGGCCTCCCCTCCCAACACTCAAGGTGTGCAGCCTGAACCCAGCCTCCCTCTCCAAGGAAAACTCACCTCACTTGTTCCTGCATTCTTTCTATCAATATCTTGAGTGCAGCACCAGGCAGACTCTAGGGGCACCCCATGAGTGCCCCCTCCCGGGATTCACTCCCATGCAATCCCCCCACTTTAGTGTGTCCTGGACTTGCTTTAACCAATCGACTAGGGCCCAGGAGATGGGACATCACTTCTGTAGTTTTGTCACAAAACATTGCCACGTCAGTCTTGCTAGCAGCCGTTCTTGCTGGCTTGGCTGAAGCAAGTGGACACTTTGGGGACACCCATACGGCAAGGAACTGGGAGTGCCTCTGACCAACAGCTGCCTAAAACTGAGGCCTTCAGTCCCACAGCCCCAGGGAACGGAACCCTCAACAGTCAGGTGGGCATGGGAGCAGAGCCTTCCCCAGTCAGGCCTCAGATGAGACCACAGCAGCCCTAGCCAGCACCTTGACCACACCTGTGAGGCCATGACCAGAGGACCCAGCAAGGGTATCCCGGGCTCCTGACCCCAGGGACCACGTGCTGGTTGAAGCCACGGCGTTTGAGGTCATTTGTTTCACAGCAGATGCTACTCATCCAAGTGCCTGCTATGGGCTGTGCACTGAGGAATGGAGGGAGGCTGTTTTTGCTTTGAATTTCTCAGTCTGATGGGGATGCAGACAAGCAGGCAGACAGCTATGAATCTGTGGAGCACCCCATGGAGGAGGCGAGCAGAGGTGGCCAGGGCAGGTGCGACACAGAAGATGCAGCCTGCCAGGTCAGATATGGCTTCCCAGTTAGGGCAAGGAGGGCAGCTTTCAGAAGGGTCCCACCTCTGGTCTATGGAGAAGCCATCCCTGCAGAGGGTCAAAGAGATTCTCATGCTATGCGGCAGCGGCAGAGAATCAATGCGTGCCCAAGGCACCTGGTGAGAAATTAGAGTCAGATCTCAGGGTCAGAGAGAGGCAGTGGGGAAGTGGCCACAGGTGAGAGGCCCCCACTGCCTGCAGGGCTTTGTGGATGCCTGCGCAGGCTGGGCCTGAAGGAGGAGCTCTACCGTGGTTGCAGGGGGGCAGGCACCTCAATGCTCCCATCTGCCAATCCAAACTCAGAGCATCTCCCAGGGCCTTCTGGCTCTGAAGCCCTGGGGTTCAGTGGATGAGCTATGATCATGTGAGTTGAGCTGATGGGGAAGTCATTTTTCTCTCTCCCTGGAGAAATTAAAGGTATGAAGCTCATAGCTATAACGGCCTCAGTTCCAACCAATTGGCCCAACAGAAAAGTATCAGGAAAAAAGGTCTTCAGAGGAATGCCGGGTTAGGAGAAGCTTCATCACCTGGTGACTGTGATCTCAGGCTTGCCCTTCTCCCTCTGCACCTGTGGCCCCAGGACGAGGGGCACGGGCCCTGAGCGCCTTAAGTATACAGGGACCTTCTCCTGTACCCAGCACCATGGCCCAGGCTGGGACCCTCCCCACCTTCTGACCCTTTCCCTCCACTTCCCTTTGGTTGAAAGCAGATGAAAATGCTGCCTCCTGGATGTGGGAAAGTAGCAATGCAACATTTGTAAAAGTGCTTCGTAGCTATTCTATTTCCAGAGGCCATTGTCAAAGTAATTATACATAGTTTAGTAGGCCTCATTGTTTAGAGCAGTTTTAGGTTTTAGGAAATTTCAAAGGTAATTCACAGATGGATGAGCAGACACAAGGCAGCGGAGCCCTCAGCCGGCCGTGGGGAAACAGCAGTGCCATCGTGACTACAGCCACCCAAAGGTGCAGGCCTCCCAGGGGGCGACGCTGGGCTGTAGATGGGACAAAGGTTTGCTGCAAGTCTACTTCCAGAGGTGGATCCAAGACCCTTTTTCCGATTTGAGAACCTGGGTGACTGCCCCTTCTGCACCTCCACAGAAGAATGGAAGCTTATTTTGCGGAGACGGCAAGGAAGACAGTGTCTGTCTCAGGCAGGCACCGCGGGGATCACAGCAGGGACAGGGACTGTCCTAGGAGTAGGGCTTGAGTCGGAATCTGTGTGCAGCCTCTGGAAAGCCAGTCCCAGACAAGTGTGGAGAGTCTTTCCCGGGGAATCTGACCAGCTTGGAGAGAGACGCACAGACACGGACCCACTGTCTCCCAGGGACATGGTTCCCCTGGGTCACCCTATGTGCAGCCCACAACAAGGCCACTTCACACCACACAGGCCTTATTCAGGCTCTGAGTGTCCTCTAAATGCAACACCCAGCCTGGAGACACCCAACAGACAACAGTGTCCATGGTGGAAACAGAGCACCATGACCAAAGACACGGCAACCTGGAAGACATGGAGGCGAAGCCGGTAAACGGACGGTGGCCAGCATCCTTAGAGGTGCAAGTAAGACATGAACAGGATGCAGGAAAACACAGTAGGGGGCTGAGAGCCCAGAGAGAGAAGAGCATGGAGCAGAAACGAAAGCCACGGGCGGTGAGGGATCAGGTGGGGAAGTGCCACAGAAAGCAGAGAAAAACTAAGAAGAAAATAACAGGCCAGCCTAGGAGGGCCAGCATTTTAACCATAGAAATTCTAGAAAGAGGGAACCAAGAGAGCAGAGGGGAAGCGATGTCTGAGAAATAGCTCTATAGCTACTCCCCAGAAGAAAGGGCATCAATATGTTCTGTGTCATCCCCTAAATTCTTGCATCAAAGCCCGAACCCCCACGACCTCAGAATGTGGCTGTTTGAAAACAAGGCCTTGAGAGAGGTGACTGGGATAAAGTGAGTTCACGTGGGTGGGGCCCCAGTGCAGCATGCCTAGTGTCCTCATAAGAAGACGCGATGGGGACACAGACACCAGCAGAGGGACGACCATGCAAGGACATGGGAGAAGACGCCATCTACAAGCCAAGGAGAGGGGACTCAGGAGGAAGCGGCCCTGCCAACGCCTGGGTCTGGGACTTCCAGACTCCAGAGCTGTGAGATTATTCATTCATTTCTGTTGTTGAGGCCCCAGTCTGTGGCACTTTGCCATGGCGGCCCTAGCCAGCTAAAGCAGGCATGCAACTTCCGAGTCACTGGGCCAGAGATCACAGCTCCCAGGAAGAAAACCAGCCCACAGCAAGGAACGGCGGCGCTACGATGTCTCAGAATGCAGAGAACAAAGAGAGCATCTGAACAGTTTCCAGAGAGGACAAAAACCAAACCAGTGAGCCAACGCATTTCACGGAAAGTATCAAGAATCAGGATGGTGTTGGTCTCAAGGGCAGGGCCGGGTGCCGGGAGACACGAACGCATGGCCCAGATGTTCTCAGGGAAAGAGGTCCCCGCTAGAGCCCCACATCCGGCCAAGCTATCCACCTAGCAGGGGGCACAATAAATATGCTTGTTCCACAGAGGCTCAGAGGGGCCTCCACACACCTTTTCCAGAAGAATTTGCTCCACCGAGATGAAGGAGTCAGGCAAAAAAGAGCAAGACAGACAGCTGGGAATTCCTGAACAAGCCTCTCAAGAAGAAGAGAGCCGGGTAATGGCCTTGAGACAGACCAGGCCCGGGGAGAGCGATTTCTTCAAAGAGATCAAATTAGTAGGATGCCTGATATGTTTAAATGTCCTGATGTGTTTGCACAACTGGGGGAGAGTTTGAGGTGGAATTAGTGTTAAGGGTACAGAAAACTAAGCAAATGAAAAAATAAGACCATTATTAACTCCAGGAGGGAAACTGGACTCAGGAGAAGAAAAAGAAGTCCTGTATGATGGGCTCAGCGTGGCAGTGCGTTTGCAGTATCGATCTTGCTGAAATGGCATTGTGACTGCGGGGAGGGTGGGGGCAGGCAGCAGGCAGGCTCGTGGAAGTGCTAAAAACACAAACATTGCATCCCAATCCTGCACGGCGGGAGTCAGTAGACAAAGCCCGAGACCGAGAAATCGACAAGCCATGTGTGTGTGTGTGCGTGCCATCTGGAGGTACAGAGGCAAAATATCAGAATCACCAGGGAAAAGGGTGAAGATGATTGCCTCTGGGGAGCTGGAAGGGTAGGGAGGGCAGGCTGGACGGAGGGTCCCATGGCAAGCCCAAGAGAACTTGCAAGTTGGAGACCTTGGCAGCGAATCCATGTATGTGCATAACTGCATTCGCCTCCCAGGGCAACCATGATGAAATGCCACAAGCTGGGTGGCTGAAGCCATCACACGTTCACTCTCTCACGGCTCTGGGGTCCAGAAATCTGAAATCAAGGTGCTGCCAGGGGCGCGCTCCCACCCATGGATCTGGCGGAGCGTCCGTCCATATCTCTTCTGGGTTCTGGTGGCTCCAGAAGCTTCTTGGCTTTGGCTGTGCCACTCCAAGCTCTGCCCTGTCTTCACGGGGCCTTCTCCACTCCTCCGGGTGTCTCTTATAAGGACTTAGGGCCCTTAGGATAATCCAGGAGAAACCCATCTCAAGATCCTTAATTTCATCTGCAAAACCCTTTCTCCAAACAAGATCACATCTGCTGGTTCTGGGGTTAGGATGTGGTAGGATGTGGACATATAGGAGGGGAGGGAGCACCACTTAATCCCCTAAAATAACTTCAAGAAAAAATAAAGGTATGTGGCTCAGCTTCCTCACACAGTGTCCCCACCAGGTAGCCCTTCCTCCTGCTTGAATACCACTGGAGATGGGAGGCTTACTGCGTCTCATTACTGAGCAGCTTTCTCAGATGTGTCATCACACTGAGCTAAACCTGCCTCCCTGGGACCTTGGTCTGTCGGCTCTGGGGCTAGTTCCTGAAATGACACAGAGTCTGGGCAGGGAGGAACACTTGGGGCCTGTGGTGTGGACGACCAGAAACCAGACAGAGTCCTGGCCTTGGGCCTGCTCCAAGCGTGGTCTGAGATTCATGGGGTAAGGATTTGGGCAGGAGTCCTGGGGTGATGATGACAGCTGAGCCCCCAGAAGCCAGCACTTCCCATAGGCGGGGAGACAGACAGAGCTGCCTGCAGTCCGGTCCTGTGTGTGCAGAATTCTAGGAGTTTCCTCTGGCTAGCTTGCCACTCTGTCCTCCTTTAAATCCCAAATCCATTCCTGGAAAGAAACATTGAGGTCACCTGGCCATTCCTGTTCAGGGCCTTTGCAATAGCTGTTCCTTCCAGAGGCAACACAAGCCCAGACCCCACCTTGCTGGTTCCTTCAGCCCCAGGGAGATGCACATGCTCGGGGAGGCTTTGATGGGCTCCATGCGAAGTTGCTTCACACACACACACACACACACACACACAAAAAAAAAAAAAAAAAACCCTTCCTCATCACACATGCACACGCATACCCACACACACATAGTCCCAAAGCCCACACCCTTGCACACCCTCACACTCACAGCAGCTCACAAGGATGCCATGGTGGGGGGGAGGCCTGTGTGGGGAGGACAGGGCTGTTTACAGGACTTAGGGTGGTTTCTGAGGGAACAGCAGAAACCAGGGAGAGCAATTTCTGTGGGAAGCTTCGCCTGCGCTGTGCTTCCACTCAGAGCCGGGTGACACTCCGAGTTGCAGGCCCACGCATGTGCCTGCCAACCTCGCCTCTGCCTGCTCTAGGCTAGCACATACCTGGCACGTGGCCAAGGATCTGTATGTGTTCCCGGAATCAGCCCCTGGACTTCCAGATGTTGAAGGCTGGGCCCTGGGAGGGGTTGATGCGTCCACAGTCACACAGCAGAGAAGGTGCGGACTCGACCCTGGATTTTGGAGTCTCGTGCCCTCTCCAGTGCCCATGCTGCACTCTGCCCAGACAGGTGTTGCCAGGCCCCAGCTCTAGGGGCACAATCAGCCAGCTGCCTTCTCACCAAGGGGCTGCGGGTCCCACCTGCTGCTCGCCCCACAGATGCTCCCAGGCTGGCCTGGCACCTGCTCGTGCAATGGGATTTACCATCCTACTCCTCCACTGCCCAAAGTGTGGGGCTTTCATTCACCTCCACACACACGTGACTTGCCAGAATGCCCGAGGGACGGCAGGTCGGCCACCAGGAGATGTCCCCTCCCTCCACGTGCTTTCCACAGGGTCAGCCCCATTTCAGCATGCCAAGGATCGTGAGCCATTCACGTCAGGATATTTCCACTTTAATTTCAAACCATCATGCACATCACAAGCTGCTGTCCTCAAAGTTCGTCCATGCAGAGAATGTCAGACAGGCCTGTGAGAGGGGGCAAGATGCCTGGTGATACAGTCACTCTCAGCTGGCCCTGGTGCCCTCCTGCTCACCGCAGTGGAGAGGGAGGAGCTGAGGCTGGGGGCACTGCAGGGGAAGGATCCTTCTGCTGCCCGTGTGTCCCAGAGGGCTAGGGTTTCCTGTCTACTAGTCCTTGTCTGTTCAATAGGCATCGTCCAACGTCTGCAGATACAGTGATGGCAGCTGGTGACAAGGTCAGATTGACGCTGGAAGACAGCCCTGGGTGCCACCGCTGCTGCTGGAGACAAGACTGGGGAGGGACACCAGGCCGAGGCAAGGCCACTGGGTCACAAAAGTAGAGAGATGGTTGGGAGAGGGGGGTGGTTTATGCCACGTATGCTAAAAATAATTGCTGATGTTTACAAGGGAAGGAGCAAAACAGGCTGATCGGCCTTTGCCTCTTGGCTCTGACGGCGGGATTTGATGGCTTGAGGGAAATACAGGATGGGGAGAGTGAGCTCTGCAGTGCCGAGACCCTGGCATTATTTGCTTCTCTGTCTCAGCAGCTGTTCCTTCTGGGGCAGGGTCTAAAAACATTCTAAATCCATGCGGTGTCCAAAGATAAGGCTGGCTCCCTGACCCTCCCGAACCAAACAGAAAAACAACTGGAGACAAAAGAATGCTATGATTTGAGTGACCCCTTCCAAACCATATTGGAGCGTGAGTCCTGATGTGGTAGTGTTGGGAGGTGGGGCCTCCAGAGGGGATTGGATCGAGAGGGCTCTGCTCCCATCAATGGATTAATCCACTTGTGGATTAATGGATTAATGGGTTACCACTGGAGTGGGACCAGTGGCTTTACAGGAAGAGGAGGAGAGACCTGAGCCAGCAGCCTCAGCCCCTTCGCCAGGGAATGCCCAGCGTGGAAGAGGACGAGAGACCTGAGCCAGCAGCCTCAGCCCCTTCTCCGGGGGATGCCTGGCGTCACCTCAGGGCGCTGCAGGGTCCCCACAGCAGGAAGGCCCTTGCAAGATGCAGCCCCTCAACCCTGGACTTCTCAGGCTCCATGATCATAAGAAATAAGTTGCTTTTCCTTTCAGTTTCAGGTATTCTAAGCAACAGAAACTCAGGCTGTCATGCCTGTGCACGCTGCCTGGTCCCCACACGTCTCCTGGCCACGAAGCACTGACCTTCTCCCCCTGCACATGTCCCCGGACCAGTGCCCCAGGGGCCTACAAGGCTGGGGATTTCTGGGCCCCTGCAGACCCAGCATCGGGCTCTGGGTGTGTCGGGTCTCAGGCGATCCTGGCGTGGCAGCCGGTGGGTGTGGGCTCTCCTGAGAACCTCATCCTAGACCACCTGCCTGACCCAGGCTAGGGGCATAAGTGCCATCCCCTCAGAAACCACCCCAAATCCTGTAAACAGCCCTGTCCTTCCCACACAAGCCTGCCCTCCACCACGGCATCCTTGTGAGCTTTCAGCGGGGAGGGGAGGGGAGGGGGAGAGGAAGGACGTCCTTCCTTTTCAGTGCTGTTTTTCTCCCTGCTCCATGGGCCACCCCCTCCGGCCTCCTAGGGCACTGATGCCAAGTCACTGCCCAGGCTGCCAGGGTGGCACTGATATCCTGGGGTGTCTGCTCACTCTATGCTATATGCCAGACCTGGGCTCCGGCTCCTGGTCTGGTCCTGGGGTGGGCCCACCCCAGCAGGTGCTGTCCGCACTGGCACAGCTCTCTCCCTTGGGCCACTCAGCCTCAAGGGTGGAGCGCCCATGGCGGGCACAGTGCTCCTGTGTGTCCCTCGGACCCTCTGGCCG
>NT_187574.1:0-133535 GCF_000001405.40 Homo sapiens | reverse complement strand
GAATTCTTTAGGTTCTTTTATGTTGAAAGTTCTTTATTTGAAGAATGGTTTGGCTGGATATAAAATTCTTTGTTCACATTTTCTTTTATTATTTTTTAAATGCTGTTGCATCGTTGCCTTGCGTTGTTTTTTAAAAGTTAATGACAATAGGGGTTTTTTTGGCGTTTGTAAGTTATTTGCTCTTTTTGCCCAGAGACTTTAAGATTTTTTTGTAATCTTTGAAATCTAATCATTTAGTTAGGAAATGTCTCAGAGCTGATCATTCGGGGTTAATGTTCCCAGGCACCTGGTACCTCCTTTGATTATGTAGATTGAGATCTTTTTTTTTTTTCAAGAGAATTAAATCATTTATTGATTACACATGATAATGGATGATACACAAGCTTCATTCCCATCTATAGTTTTATCTGGTACCATTATTCAATTTACATATATTTCATAGGATGTGCCAACAATCATTTTTATAACCAATTAATTCCATGACTTTTCTTGGGCCATCCCTTTTAACGGTGAACTTCAGGTGACAACAGTAACTGTCAGTTCAACTACACCAAGGTTTCTGAAGACAATGGCATCTCCACCCAAGCAGGTTGTACATAAATTCCACATAGAACCTGGCATCACCCTGAAGGAATTCTAACTTCACACTGTTGGGGAAATTTACCAAGATGGCTTCAGAGTAGACTAACTTTACACAACACATTAAAAAAAAAAAAAGACATTTATTCAGCATCACGATCAGACTATTACATTTAGCAATCAACAGCATGGGAGCAAAAAAAAAAAAAAATCTGCATTAAAACCCTTTGTTGGAAAGCTTTACACTTTCCACAGAACAGAAACTAAAATAACCTGTTATACAATTAGTCACAAATACAGTCCTCGAGTTTTTTTGCCCATACACATGAGTATCTGCCTAAAACATGTCTTCTTTGTAGCAGCTAGGCCCTGCCACCACAGTGCTTGACCAAGTTCACAAATCTGTTGTAACCCGTAGCTTCCCTGTCACGTCTATGGCTCTCCTCTCCTGCTAAGCTTTGTTTCCTAATTAAAATCTTCTGCCACTGCCATAGCTACCGCTGCTACTGGAACCACCATAGCCACCTTGGTTTCGTGGTTTTGCGAAGTATTGGCCTCCACCACCATAGGAGCCAGAGCTTCTGCCTCCAAAGTTTCCTCCCTTCATGGGGCCAAAATTTGAAGACTCGTTGTTCTAATTGCCAAAATCATTGTAGCCTCCAAAATGGCTTCCATCATTACCAAATCCATTATAGCCATCCCCACTGCCACCATATCCACCACCACCATGGCTGCCACCAAAGCCACCATAGCCACTGAAGTTTTCTCCATGACCAAAGTTGTCATTCCAACCAAAATCACCTCCACCACCACCACCAAAGTTTCCAGAACCACTTCGACCTCTTTGGCTGGATGAAGCACTCGCCATCTCTTGCTTTGACAGGACTTTCCTAACTTCACAGCTGTGGCCATTCACAGTAGGGTATTTCTGAATGACAAGCTTATCCACAGAGTCATGGTCGTCCAAGGTTACAAAGGCAAAGCCCCTTTTCTTGCCACTGCCTCGGCCCGTCGTGATTTCAGTCACTTCAATTTTCCCAAATTGTTCAAAATAATCCCTTAGGTGATGTTCTTCTGTGTCTTCTTTAATGCCACCAACAAATATCTTTTTCACAGCTAAGTGGGCAACTGATCTTTGAGAATCCTCTCTTGAGACAGCTCTCTTTGGTTCCACAGCTCTTCCATCCACCTTGTGCGGCCTTGCATTCGTGGCTGCATCCACCTCCTCCGCAGCAGCATAGTGACAAACCCAAAACTCCCGCCGGAACGCTTGGTGTTGGAATCTCTCATTACCACACAGTCCGTGAGCATTCCCCATTGCTCAGAATGGCTCCTCAAGGCTCTCATCTGTTGTTTCAAAGCTCAACCCTCCAATGAAGAGCCTCCTCAGCTGTTCGGGCTCTTTAGGAGACTCTGACTTAGACATGACAGCAGGAAGAAGAGAGACTTTAACGATGCTTCTTCAGGGGCGTCCACGGGCAGAAGAAAAAAAAGAATTGAAATTTTTTTGAGGTTGCTATTCTTGGAAAATTTTCTTGGTTACAGTTTTAAATATTAGTCATGTTCCATTGCTGTTTTTCTTCCTCAGGGACTCCAGTAATACAAATGCTATTCCTCCTGTCTTCCATTTTCACTACTTTCCCTCTGACCCCTTTTACTCTTTCTTAAATTCACTTTCATTCTCTTGGTTGCTTTTCTTGTTTTCCTAAATGCACCTTATTAAATTATCATTTGAGTCTTATCTCTCTTGGACACCTTGTACTCTTCCTTCATTTCTGAGATAATTTTTTCATCTCATCCATTTCTTTCCTGAAGTCAATCAACTCTCTTTTCAGATCCTGTTGGATTTTTTTGTCCTTTTTTGAACTCATAATTCAAGGTAGTTTTCACATTTTTAAATGCTTATTTGAGCATATGTAATGACACGTAGAATGAATGTTGTCTTAGGGTTTTTTTCCTGCATCGTGATTTTTTCCAGGGGGAGTTCCTTATTTTGTGTGTGCTGATTTTTGTTTTCTCATTTTTTACAATAATTCTATGGATCTGTTCATTTTGTTCCTGTTCATGTTTGTGTTCTTTGCGTGTTTTATATGATTTTAAGTTCAATGGCACCCTCTTCTGTCAATACAGCAAAGTCCAGATAATTTAATAGACTGTTTGGGTGGTAAGCAAAAGGATTATGGATCCTCCAATGTTTTGGTTCCATTTCTATTGCAGGGCCATACATTTTTCCCTTTTACCTCTTTCCCTATCACCACCTAATCTCCAAAGGATACCTCTGCTTTCTTTTTTGCCCTTTCCTTTCCCAAAATCTGTGCATTTTGAAGACCGCCCTCCAAAGCAGGCAGACTTTTAAGTCACTGCTATGTGATTGGGGCTCTGACACTTGAACTTTTTTTTTTTTTTTAAGACTTAGGGTGGACTTAGTCTTCTAGAAGGTGCTTTAGGCTTTATATCAATCTCAAGCCCTGTTGCTAACTCCTCCCTTCCCTCTTTCCCCTCAGTTTCTCTCAGCCTGCCTTTATCAAAGCCTTATGGTAGAACGGGATAGGGTGGGAGCAGTAGAGATTTCATGCTAAGGTTGATACTCTTCTCTTTGTGCTTAATTTTGAAGTTTGGGAACTCTCTGAATTTGCACTGGAGTCATAGTTTTTGTGCATTTTTATTTCCCTTCTTGTTTTTCTGTTGTATCTCAAGGAAATTTTGGGAGGTGGAGGCCTAGGCAACAGGCATCGTCTTCAGCTACCTAGAAGTTTACAGTTCTATTTTATGTATTGGAATTTTTATCTTATTTCCTCAATTCTAAGAAGCATTTTTTTTTACATTTTAACATTTATGAAATCGGGGTGCATTTTTCACTGATGGTGCCTTACACCTGGATTTATATAGTTTTCTGCCAGGCACCTGGGGGCACTGTTAGTTTGAGACCACTTTCAATTTAAAAGTCTCTGCTTGAGATTTTATTGGGCCACATTGGTGTGAATTCAGGCATCCAAAGAGGTTTGGGTTCAAATCCTCAGGACATTCGTACCCCTTCCCACTTCCACCCAGTGTGCTGACTGAAGCATGACAGTTTTCTCGATTTTTCTTTCTGCAGGGCCGAGTTTTGTTTGTTTATTTCGATCACCCTTAAACCGTACATGCAGACCTTTGGGTCCCAGCTCTATGTTGGGGTCTCCTATAAGACTCCCATCTTGGCCATTTTTTCTTTCTTAGAAATACGTGAAATCATGGTGGGGTGTGTCCTAAAAGTATAAACAGAATTGTACAATATGTAGTCTTCCAATATTCTTCTGTTGTTTGGCTTGGGTGTTTGTTTGTTTGTTTGTTTGTTTGCTGAGACAAGGTCTTGCTTAGTTGCCCCGGCTGGAGTGTAGTGGTACAATCATAGCTCATTGTAACCTCAAACTCCTGGGCTCCAGTGATCCTCCCACCTTAGCCTCATGAGTAGCTAGGACTACAGGCATGCATCACCACACCTGGCTAATTTATTTTTTTTGAAGAGATGGGGTCTCATTATGTTGCCCAGGCTGATCTCAAACTCCTGGCCTCAAGCAATCCTTCCACCTTGACCTCCCAAAGCGCTGAGATTATAGGCATGAGCCACCATGCCCAGCATGTCTGGCTTATTTTTTTCCTCCAATATGATGTGTCTAAGATTCATTTTAACATGTTGTAGTTCATTCATTTTTGTTGCTGTATAGTATTCCATTTTATGAATGCCAATTATTCTTTTTACTAGAGGTCAATATTTGGGTCAATTCCTGTTTGGTACTATGGTTAGCAACGCTGCAGTGAACTTGCTTATACATGCGCCTGGATGTACATAAGCTCTCAGTTTCCACAGTGTATGCATCTAGGATGGAAATGTCTGCATCATAAAGCTATACATATATCCAACTCTAATACATAATGCAAAATGTTTCCAAAGAGCTTGTACTGATTCACACTCTCAGCAGTATTTTTTTTAGAGTTCCCGTTACTCCGCAGTTTACTAACACTTAGCATTCACTTTTTAGCCAGTAATCAAAGTTTTAGTCAGTCTGGTGGTGCTATTAATCAGTATTGTGGTATTCGTTTCCACTTTCATGATTAAATAAAGAAGTTGAACATCTTTTCATTTCTTTTTAGCCTCTTTGGTGATATGCCTATTCAAGTATCCTGCACACGTTTCTATTGTGTTGTCCGCCATTGCTAATTTCCATTCCCCTGGCTCACCCTATCTAAGGTTCATCATTACTTTGCTTTCCTTTTATTTAGTTTTATTGCACCTATACATATTCCTAAAAGTACTTTATTGTTTTTCTAATTTCATATAAATTATAATTTCATGTGAGTTATAATTTTTATACTTTCATATGAAGGGCATTCTGTTGCATATACTTGGAGATTTCCATTTGCCTAATATTACTATAGTTTTTTAGAGTTTATATTGTCTAATATTAAGTGTCTAGTCATATAATAACACCAGTTTTCTTTTGTTGATATTGCATAGTATGCCTTTTTCCAGACTTTTACTTTTGCTATTTCTACATTCTTTTGTTTTAGATGTGTCTTTTGTAAACAGCATTTAGTTGGGTTTTTATAGCCTGACGACCTTTGTCTTTAATTGAAGCATTTATTCAATTTACTTGTAATATAATTGTTTATATATTTGGGATTGAATTTACCATCTTTACTTTCTTTCCAGACCAAAAAAAAAAAAAAGAACCTTCAGAGTCTTCAACTGACTTAACACACTCTCAATTTTAATGCCCTTGTTGTTTAACTCTGTATATTTTTAAATCTCACAAGTCAATATTCATTTAGAGTTGCCCCCATTTTCACTATTTTCTTTGCTCTTAATTTCTTTTTAAGCCTCACACCCCTCACCTGAGGCCATTTTCCTCCAACCTAAAGCACATCCTTTAGAACCCCCTTTAGTTTGGGTCTGCTGTTAGCAAATGCTTTCAGTTTTTATATGAAAATGTCTTTATTTCATCTTCAATCTTGATAGACACTTCACTGGGTATAGAATTCAATATTGGCAGTTATTTTCTTTCTGCACGCCAAGCTAACATCCCACTGTCACTGGCTTCCATTGCTGCTGTTGAGAAGTCAGCTCTCAGCAGGACTGCTGCTCTTTTCATCGTGCTATGTGCTTTATCCTGTGACTGGTTTTACAGTACCCTGGTTTTTTCTGGTTTGGGAAAGTTTGTTGTTTTGTTTGTTTTTATTTGTCTGATAAGTCACCACAGTGTGTCTAGGAATGGATTTCTTTATGTTTATCCTGTCTTGAATTCCTGTTCTGGAATATTCTGGTCCTGGAAGAATCCCAGCCATTATCTCTCCACATAGTGCTTCTCCTGCATTCTCTCTCACTTTCCTTCTAGGGCACTGATTAGGCACATGTCAATATCTTACCATATCCTCTATTTCACTAGATCACTCAGAGTGCTGGGGGGAACAGATAACACACTCAAATTGGTTGAGGTGGAAAATTTAATAAAAGAGCTCTTGGACAAGGGGTAGAGTTTAATGTGACTGACAGGGGAAGGGCCAGTGCCCCAGGAAAAGTAACAATGCTGACTCATTGCCACCTTCTAGACCTAAAGGGGCAGGGAATGGGAGTGCTCCCAGAACCAAGGATGTCTATATGGCTAGACCACAGGACAGATGGACACGGCAATCCTGTGGCCACCCACAGGGAGAGACTCTGCGGTATAAATACCCTGACTTCCCTCCACTCCCACCTTCTGACCTCTTGCTAGTGCTTACCATTAGCCAAGTCAACTGGAAGCCAAAGGTCAAGAGAGCTTCTTGATGCAGTGTATACAGGTCAGCTTCCTGGGGCATGAGGCAGGATGGGGAGCAGCAGAGATTATATCTGCAGGAGCAAGCGGAAGATATTCAACACAATTTCTTACTTCCCTTCTGCTTCCCCATATTTGTGTCCCTCATTGCTGAATTCTGTCTAATTTATTTTGAGTTATCTTCTAGTTCACTAATTCTCCTTTAACCATGTCAATGTGATGTTAACGTTTTCCATTGCATTTTTTTTATTTCAGATTTGGTATTTTTTATTTCTAAAATGTCATTTTGGTTCTTTTTCTCACCTGCTCTATCACTTATAGGTTCCTAGTCCCTGAAGACATTTTTAAGCTTGTCTTTTATTTCTGTATTCATAATCAAATATTTGTTTCATAGTTCATACCTGACGATTCTAATATCTAAGTTTTCAGATCTACTTTATTTGTTATTCTTGCTGTATGTTACCGATGGAGTGTGCCTTCCTCATGTGTCTGATTATCTTTTGACTACATACTGGATGTTGTTTTTGGAAAAAAAAAATGTAGGAATGATTTGGGGCCCACAATTAAGGTATTTTCCTCCAACAAAAACAACTTGTCTTTGCTCTGCCAAGCACCTAAGGATACCTAAGGTAAGCCCGTGATTACCTTAAGCCAAATCCAGTGCTTCAGATTCCCTGGATGCCCCCATTCAATTCAAACGTGGCTGAAATTTGCTTGGGTTTTTCACACCTGCTTAGGCACCAGTCTGAAAGTGGCCAAGGGTCTCCTATGAGATTAACCATGTTGTGCAGTCTGTGAGCTTAGGTCTCTGTCCCTTCATCCCACAAGGCTGTCAGAACAAAGGATCTAATTTTCCAGAATTGTCAGATGCCCCCAAGGCATCAGTAGCTTTCCTGCTCCCAACCCCTCAGGGTCATCATATTCCCCACATGTTGGCCTTGCAGTTTCTTACAGTCTTGTCATCTCTTTAATACTCTCAGGACCCTTGTTTATGTTTTCTTTTCTTTTTGAGACAGGGTCTCACTTCATCACCCAGGCTAGAGAGCAATGGCGCAATCTCGGCTCACTGCAACCTCTGCCTCCTGGGTTGAAGCTATTCTCCTGCCTCAGCCTCCCAAGTAGCTGGAATTATAGGCATGTGCCACCACACCTAATTTTTGTATTTTTAGTAGAGATGGGGTTTCACCATGTTGGCCAGGCTGGTCTCGAACTCCTGACCTCAAGTGATCTACCCACCTCTGCCTCCCAAAGTGCTGGAATTACAGATGTGAGCCACCATGCCCAGCCTACATGTTTATATTTTCTCCAACCTTTATAGTTGTTTTCAATGGAGGAGCTGATTCAAGTAGCTTAGTGCACCCCTACTGGAGGATGAAGAAGTCTTCTCATTCCTTTTTTTAAAAAACAGATTTATTGAGATATAACTCACATACTTTACAATTTGGCCATTTAAAGTGTACAATTCAATGGGTTTGGCATATTACATTATTTTTAATGGTAGTAAAATATGTATAATATAAACTTTGTCATTTTATTCACTTTTAAGTGTATGATTCAGTGGCATTAATTATATTTGCAATTGTTGCACAGCTATCACCACTGTCTAATTCTAAAACTTTTTTATCACTCCAAACAGAAGCTGTGTAACTATTAAATAATAATTCCCCATCTTCCCCTCCCCATAGCCCTTGATAACCTCTAATCTACTTTCTGTCTTATGAATTTGGCTGTTCTCGACATTTCATGTAAGTGGAATGATATAATATTTGTCCTTTCGGGTCTGGATTCTTTCCCTCCGCCTAATGTTTTCAAGGTTCATCCATGCCGTAGCATGTATCGGAACTTCATTTCTTTTCATTGCTGAATAATAGTCCACTGCACGGGTAGGCCGCATTTTATTTATCCATTCATCTGTTGACGGACACTCGGGTTGCCTCCACCTTTGGGCCGTCATGAATAACGATGCCGTCAGCACTGGCATACCAGCATGTTCGAGACCCTTCTCTCAGTTATTTTGGGTGTGTACCTAGGAGTGAAGTTTCTGGGCCATGTGGCCGTACTATGTTTAGCTTTTTGAGGAACTGCCGTACCATTTTCCATAGCAACTACACCATTCTCTATTTTCACCAGCAAAGTACCAGGGTTTCTGTTTCTCCACATACTCACCAGCACTTGGTGTCTCTCATCTTGGGGCTGTAGCCATCCTAGGAGGTGTGAAGTGACATATTTTGATTTGTGTTCCCCTGAGCATCTCTTCATGTGCTTATTGGCCATTTGTCTATCTTTTTTGGAGAAATGCCTCTTCAAGCCCTTTCTCCACTTTGGAGTTGGGTTGTTTGTCTTTGGGTTGTGACTTGTAGCTCCCATTCCTTCTTAGACCCACATGAACCAGACTTTGTCCACTGCTGCTCCAATAAAATGGTTCTCGTCAAGGTCACCAGTAACCTCACGTCACTAGGTCCAATAGTCCATTCTCTGTCCCCACCTTATGTGACCTGTCAGCAGAATTTGACTCAGCCAGTGACTCTCTCCTCCTGGGAACGCTGCCCTCCCCGGTTCTCCTCCTACCTCCCCGGCCACTCCCGCTCAGCCTCCTCCAGTGGCTCCTCCTCATCTCCCAGATTTCATAGCCCTGAGGCCACAGGGCTGACCCCTGATCCTCCTCCTCAGCTACACTCAGTTTCACAGTGACCACCTCCATTCCCGTGGCTTCAAATATCCCCTAAATACTGACACCTCTGGCCCAGGCCTCTCCCCTAACCCCCTGACGGCAGCCCTTGGATGTCACACAGGCGTCTCCCACTGACCCAGCCAGGCCACACCCCTGGCCTCCCCCAACCTGCCCCTCCTGCAGGCTTCCCCATGTCACCGCTGGTGACTCTGTGCTCCCAGCATCTCAGGCTGGAATTCTTGATGCCATCCGACTCCTCTACACCCACATCCCATCCCCTAGGAAACCCTGCCAGCTCCACCTCTGCCTGTGTCCCGCCCCCGCTGCCACCACCCTAGTCCAGGACACCACCGGCTCTCACCTGCAGTGACTTGCCCACTTCCAGTCGCCCACCCCCCAGTCCTTGAAGAACACACGTAGGCCCATGCCACGTCTCTGCGTAAGATCCTCCAGTGGTCCCATCTCATTCAAAGCCTCCACAGCAGCCATCAAGGTCGTGCTGTGGCCCCGATGATATCACCGTCTTCCTATCCTCCTCTCCCCTCCCCACTCCACCCCAATGACACTGGCCTTTCTTTCTGTCCCCTGAACACACCAGGATTGAGCTGTCTCAGGGCTGTCTCTCTGGAAGCTTCTCTCCCCCGCATCGCTGCCTGGCTCCCTCCCGATATCCTCAGGGCTTTGCTCAAGTGCCCCCTTCTCAGGGGATGCGTCCCCGACTGCCCTGTCTGAAACCGAAGGCACCCAGACTCTCCCCCGCCCCCCACGCTGCTTTTTTCTCTCAAGCAGCACTGAGCATCCGGCACACTGCGCTTCCTGCTGTGTCCCCGTGAGGCTGTCATGCACAGGAGGCCGGGGACTCCTGCCGATTCCGCCACTACTTGGTCCCCGGGACACTGTCTGCATGCAGTGGCGCTCGGCTCACACCTGCTGACTGGGGGGCAGGCCCGCAGGCAGCAGAATAGAAACACCCACCCTCTGGGCATGCACGCTCGCTCGGGGAGAATCCTCCCGCTTAAGCCTCTTGAGGCAGGCATTGCCCACTACTCTGCGGCCAGGAATCCAAGGCTCAGAGGGGTTAAGTGACTCCCCCAAGGTCACACAGCCAGCTTGGGGCAGAGAAGGGGTCTGAGCCTAGACCCTTCTGACTCCAAAGGCCCGGCTCTTTCCGGCTAGGTGGAAACTCACAGAGTCCTCCGAGCTGTCGTGCCCACCTAGCCAAGGGTCAGATGGTCCTGGAGTGGCTTCCCCAGGGTTTTAAGGAGAGCCACCCTTGAGTCTGTCTTAAAGCAGGGGTGGGAGCGCATGGAGCCACCCTTCTGTGGTCCTCGCAGCCCCAGCCTCCTCATGCCAGGGGCCCTCCTGCCCCTCGAACCCCTTCCACCCAACACTCAGACCCTAAGACCATTTAGGGCAGTAAACAGGGCCATCATGGTCACCAGCACCTCAGGGCAACCCAGCTGTCCCTTCCTTCCCTCCAGGCCTCACCGAGCCATGCCCCATGGAACCATGGAAAGGCCACAGGACTGGACAGCCCTGGCCTCCAGGATCCCCAGTTCCAAGACAGGGCCTTGATCAGGACAGGTCTCCTCTCTCCGGTCCTTAGTGGCCCCATCTGCAAAATGGGCACTCTACAAACTGTAAAGCACTGTGCTCATGCTAGTGAGGACCCAGCTGAGGAGCTGGGCCCCAGCAAACCCGGACTAGGAGGGAGTAGTCAGGGAAGGCTTCCAGAGGGAAGTGACTTTGTGGTGAGCCCTAAGGGCTGAGGGGGAATTAGTCAGGGACAAGGAGTGCTCTAAACACCAGGCCTGCACATGTGGGGGCCCAGAGGAAGGGAAGGACAGGCAGGGGCTGGAGGTCAGAGAGCAGAGAGCTTGGAGGCCGTGACTTTGAGTGCCGGCTGGGGCTGTGGTCTACAGGACCTGGGAGCCAGGGAAGATGACAAGCAGTTGGGAGACAGGGCACATTAGGAAACCTCCAGTATGAGTGAGGAGCTGGCGGAGAGACCTTGAAAGCGGGGAGATCCAGGAGGGGGCTGGTGTGGATGTGAGACCACAGGCAGGGACCAGGGGCCTCCTGTCCAGCCCCCGCCTTGGGCCCCTCCCACACCAACCTGCAATGCTCGTATCTGCCCTGAGCCCCATCCCACTAGGGTCCAGCTCAGGGCCCAGCCTAAGTTTGCTGTTCCAGGCACCCAGGCCCTGGTGATGGTGGCCTGCTCATGTGGCTGAGCCCAGCCAGGCCTCGGTGGCAGCACTGCCCTCACATGCCCTCTCTGCCCACAGCCACACCTTCCAGCTGTGGAGGGCCCTGGGGGCTGGGCAGCCCACGAGCCACCTGGTGCTGACCACACTGCTGGCCTGTCTGCAGGAGCGACCCCTGCCCACCGGTGCCAGCGACAGCAGCCCCTGCCCCAAGGAGAAGACCTACCTGCGTTTGCTGGCTGTGAGTCTCTGCCACCGCCCCATCAAATACTGGCAGCACCTCGGGCACTCACTCTGTGCCGGGCTGTAGGGGGGCACCCCATATCCAGGCTGCAGACACCCAGTCCAGCCCCAGCCTGGAGGAAAGCCGCCCAGGGCTGACCACACAGGCCCAGCTCCCACCTCCTAGCCGAGGGCTGTGAGCTCCTGTCTGTGAATCAGGACAGTCGTGTCAGTCCCCTGGGCTGGCAAGGGAACTCACTCACTCACTGTGGGGCGGCCTCAGAGAGGGGCTTCAGGTATAGGGAAGGGTGTGGAGAGAGTTGAGAACCCTCCCCATGCTTGGGTTCTGGGGAGTCATAGATTCTAGAGGAATCTTAGAGGCTGCCCTCTGCAGCCGCCACCCCCCTGTAGGAAGCCCCTGGTTTTCCTCATAAGCCCAGCACTGCTTCCACACTCCCAGGAGCCAGGAGCTCCCCTCCTGGCATGGCCACACCTGTCCCCCTTACCTGGACCCTGATGAGGCCACAGCTGTGTTCCTGTTTAGAGCTTTCCAGGCTGAGTCCCTGCCCCAAAGGCACCCCAGCAGTGGCCCAGAGCTCACAGCAGCTCCCCTACCACCCAGAGCCCCCCAGACAAGCTGCTGCCTGCAGCAGGGGTGTGATGAGGGCTTAACAATGGCAGCCGGTGGGAGAGCACCCCCTCGGCCTGGGGATTTATCAGCTGGCCATCCCCAACAGCCCCGCCCCGGTCGGCCCTGGGCTGATGCTGCCCCCCTACCAGAGGACCACACAGCAGCATGGGTGAGACCCACCCAGGGGTAGCAGGGGAGCCTTCCCTGCACCCCACCACACCGCCAGTTCCTGCCCTCCCCCCAGTTGTCACTGCTCAGTGCTGGCCCCACCCTGAGAACATTCTGGACTGAAGGCTCCGGCAGGCACATTCGGCCTTTGGGGTTGGGGGCTGCTATCAGCTGACTCTGCCTTCCAGGGCCATGGGTTCCCCAACTCCCAGGCATCAGGCCCTGCTGTGTGCCAGCCACAGAGCTGAGGGTACCGTGAGACCACACAGCACAGGACCTTGCCTTCAAGGCAGTAGAGCAGAGGGCCCAGACGCCAGCAGCTCACCCCTTAGACAGGAGCAAAGTGCAGAGGGCAGATGGTGGCATCCAGTGTGCGGTCTGAGGGAGGCCCTGGGTCAAGGTGGAGGTCTGCAGGAGTGTAGAGCGGACAGCATCCAGGTGGACAGCTAGGGGAGGCTGGGGACCACTAGGCCATCCAGCAGCAGCGAGACCCAAGCGGTGGGTCCAGAGGGTGCAAGAGACGGCCAGGCTGAGTCTGCAGAGGCACGGGGTCAGGCCCCACAGGGAGGGACAGCATGTGGACACTTGGACTTGGTCCTGGAGAGCTTGCAGCAGGGAGGGACGAGCATGCTTGGACGTGGCTTTTGTGGGACAGTAGGTCAGAACCCCTGGTCCCGGGACCCAGGGCCTGGGAGCCTCACTCCACGCCTGCCCCCGACAGGCCATGAACATGCTGCACGAGCTGCAGTTTGCCCGGGAGTTCAAGCAGGCCGTGCAGGAGGGCTACCCCAAGCTCTTCCTGGCCCTCCTCACCCAGATGCACTATGTCTTGGAGCTGAACCTGCCCAGCGAGCCCTAGCCCAAGCAGCAGGCCCAGGAGGCGGCCGTGCCCAGCCCCCAAAGGTAAGACTAGAGCCTCCCAGGCCTCCTGGCCTGGCCAGACACACATAGGGTTCCGCAGGCATCCGAGGGCAAAGACTGTGTTAGCCTCATAGAGCACAGTAACAAAGACGCATACCCCACGGACTCAAAGCAACATCTCCCAGTGCTGGAGGCCAGAAGTCTAAAACCAAGGTGTCACCAGGGCGTGCTCCCCTGAAACCTGCGGGGGCCTTCCTCACTGCTTCCGGTTCCCAGTGTCTCATGGCCACGCTGGGTGTTCCTGGGCCTGAGGCTGCACCACGCTCATCTCTGCCCCTGTGGTCACCTGACATTCTCCCTTGTGTGCCAGTGTTTAAATTTCCTCCTTTTTTTTTCCAGCTCTGTCAGAATTAAGCTTTCGTTCATGTCTGTTGAGTGGTTCAGCAGTTGAACAGTTAAATTCAGCATCTGAATAAATTTCCCCTTCTTATAAGGATACCAATCACTGGGTTAGGGCCCCACCCTAACGACCTCAACTTGATAACATCTGCAAAGACCTTCTTTCCAAATAAGGTCACAGTCACAGGTACCGTTGGTTGACTTCAATATATCTCTTTTCGGGGGGACACAGTTCAACCCACAACAGTCATGAACCTGAGCCCCATCCATGGCCAGGGCCACAGGGGCTGTGGGCAGCACCTGCAGACAGGTGTTCGTCCCACTTACCCGTCACCTGACGGTGCTTGGCAGTAGAGATACTTAGTGTCACTGCCATACAGCGACCTCAAGGGGACAGCAGTTACCAAAAGCACCCATGCAGTGAGCCACATCTTACCCCAGTGGGTTTCCTGCGAGGACTCGAGATGAATGTCGTTGTCCCTGCTCTACAGATGAGGCAACTGAGGCTCAGAGAGGGTCAGAGGCTTCCCCTGGGCCACACAGCATGTCCATGCAGAGGCGAACTGGGCTCACCCATGGGGCAGATGCCTTTCCATGCCCTCTTGGGCATCTCATTGGTCCTCAGCACATGCTCAGGCTGACATCACGGCCAGTTGCCCGCTCCCCCGCCCACCGTATTCTGGCCTCAGTAGGGCTGCCTGCCTTCATCTTCCCTCTGCACCAGGTCATATTTCCAAAAATCCAATAAGCAAGTCTAAAAACCGCTGGGGCCAACTCTTTTCATTTGTTTGTATTATGATGTGCGTCACGCAATTTGTCAGTTTTAACAGCTCTCCCCAAGGCAAGTCACTTAAAAAAAATGCCACTTCTTCTCATCTTGCCTCCGAATTCAAATGTGCACGAAGTTCCTTTTTTATTCAGTTCAACCATGCAAAATGCATGAATCTTTCCTAATAAGCTAATAAAACCTTCTCCTCCCGGAACGTGGGAGGGTTGGGAGAAAGCCTCACCCCGTCTGCTCCTCCCCCTGCTGGAATGTTCTTCCCCCAGCCATCCTGTCTCTGCAGGCTCTGCTCACCCGCACCTCACTGAGGCCTCCCCCACCACCCTCCAAAATAGCAGCCCCTTCGGCGCCTCCCACCCTCTGCTGCTTTATTCTCGCCGCAGCCCCGCCATCAGCTACCATCTGTGATCTGCGCCTTTTACCTGCTTTACTGCCCTCACCCATAGACTGGAAGGTCCCGAAGAGCCAGAGACATCTGTCTGTCTCTCGCGGGCTCCCCATACAGCAAGGACGTCTGTCTGTCTCACTGGGGGCTCCCCATACAGCAAGGACGTCTGTCTGTCTCACTGGGGGCTCCCCATACAGCGGGAATGTCTGTCTGTCTCACTGGGGGCTCCCCATACAGCGGGAATGTCTGTCTGTCTCACTGGGGGCTCCCCATACAGCGGGAATGTCTGTCTGTCTCACTGGGACCTCCCCATGCGGCTGAGACATCTGTCTCTCGCGGGTTCCCCCACCAGCAAGGACGTCTGTCTCTCTCAGGCCCCTCATACAGCTGGGACATCTGTCTGTCTCGGGCTCCTCATACAGCTGGGACGTCTGTCTATCTCTCTTGGGCTCCCCATACAGCTGGGACGTCTGTCTATCTCTCTTGGGCTCCCCATACAGCTGGGACGTCTGTCTATCTCTCTCGGGCTCCCCATACAGCTGGGACGTCTGTCTCTCTCGGGCTCCTCATACAGCTGGGACGTCTGTCTGTCTCTTTCGGGCTCCTCATACAGCTGGGACGTCTGTCTGTCTCTCTCGGGCTCCTCATACAGCTGGGACGTCTGTCTCTCTCGGGCTCCTCATACAGCTGGGACGTCTGTCTCTCTCGGGCTCCTCATACAGCTGGGACGTCTGTCTCTCTCGGGCTCCTCATACAGCTGGGACGTCTGTCTGTCTCTTTCGGGCTCCTCATACAGCTGGGACGTCTGTCTGTCTCTCTCGGGCTCCTCATACAGCTGGGACGTCTGTCTCTCTCGGGCTCCTCATACAGCTGGGACGTCTGTCTCTCTCGGGCTCCTCATACAGCTGGGACGTCTGTCTGTCTCTCTCGGGCTCCCCATACAGCTGGGACGTCTGTCTGTCTCTCTCGGGCTCCTCATACAGCTGGGACGTCTGTCTCACTGGGGGCTCCTCATACAGCTGAGACATCTGTCTCTCGTGGGTTCCCCCACCGGCAAGGACGTGTCTCTCTCTCGGGCTCCCCATACAGCTGGGACGTCTGTCTGTCTCTCTCAGGCTCCCCATATAGCAGGGACTTCTGCCTCGCGCGGGGCCACGGGTGGTTTCTGCTCAGGCCGCTCCGGGCAGGTTCTCCTGGAGCCCTGGAGGTGGCCCCGGCAGCTCCCGCAGCCCCAAGAGAAAAAACTCTCACCACGGGCACAGTCCTGGGCTCTGATTGGCCTAGCTTTGCTCACATACCCAATCCTGAACCAATCACCTTGGCCACAGGGGCCTGTGCGGCTCTGACTGGCCAGGCCTGGCTCCCACGCCCTCCAGGGAGCGGCATGGGCCCAGGCCTCTTCGACCACCGCGAAGGGGCCCAGGCTCCGGTTGCCAAACCAGCAGCCATGCCACCCAGCACCACCACGGAGCCAGGGAGAAAGGGAGGCCTGAGAGCAGAGTGACACCCAGGTGTATCCCGGTGGCTCACGGTCTGAGGTCCCTGCCAGGCTGCTGTGGCACTGTCAAGGTGGGGACAGGGGCCCAGAAGGACAACTGGATGAGCAGTGCTGAGTAGCCACTCTCTCTGCATGCCCAAAACGGTGGGGGCGGCACAGGACACCATGGGGCAGCAGGGGAGTCTTGAGGCCTGATGGGGCCAGCCCTGGGCCTCTGAAGTTCTCATGTCCTGCTTAGATGGACAGGCCTCTGGGACCAGGAAGCAGCGAGTGGGGTTGAGCAGGGCACCCTTCCCTGGGCAGGACTGCAACAGGTGCTGCCAGGCCTGCCAGAGGGGCCTCCCTCTCCCCTGCTCCTCCACTAACAAAGCCTTTTCCTTAGAGATGTTTCCTGCGTTGGTCAGTTCTCAGCTGGGTCCTCCTCCAGCCAGTCTCCACCCTGCCCCACAAAGGAATTCTCATTGTTCTCACACGTCATCCATGTGGGCCAACTCTATTTAATTCAAATGGGCTACATCGTTTCTCTTTATTTCGAAGGCACTCATCATTCTCACCCTCATCTCATCTTCATCTTTCCCTCTGTCCCCTGGGGATTTGGGGCCAAAGGCTTGTGATCAAAAGAAGAGGAGGAACTTCACACCCATTAGGTTGGCTACTGTCCAAAAAAAAATCAGAAAATGAGTGTTGGCGAGGATGTGGAGAAATCAGAAGCCTTGTGCACTGTTGGTGGGAATGTAAAACGGTGCAGCTGCTTTGGAACAGAGTATGGAAGTTCCTCCAAAAATTAAATATAGAATTACCATATGGCCCAGGAATTCCACTAATGGGTGTACACCCAAAAGAAAGGAAAGCAGGCACCTGGGACAGATATTTGTACGCCCTGCTCACAGCAGTGTTATGATAACCAAAAGGTAGAAGCAACACAAGTGTTCATCAATGGGTGAATTAGAATAAGCAGTGTGGTCCATCCATACAATGGAATACTATTCAGCCTTGAAAAGGAAGGAAATTCTGATGCTACAACATGGATGAACCTTGAGCACATTCTGCTGAGTCAAATACTGTGTGAGTCCACCTACTTAAGGTCCATGAGTAGCCAAATCTACAGAGACAGAAAGTAGAATGCTGGGTGCCAGGGGCTGGATGGAGGGAGAATGGGGAGTTAATGTTTAATGGGGACAGAGTTTCAGTGTGGGAAGATGAGAATGTTCTGGAGATGGATGGTGGTGATGGTTGCATAATATTATGAATATGCTCAATGCCACTGACCTGTACACTTAAAACGGTAAATTGTATGAGATGTGCATTTTACCACAATTAAAAATAAAACCAGAAGAGGAGGAGGTAATGGGAGAGGGAAGAGGGTCTCATGGACCCTCAGGCTGGGGAGGAGTATGGAAAGCAGAGGGGCTTTGCCTCCTCTTTCTCAGGTGCCTTTGCCCTCTCCGGGGCCAGAGTGGGGAAAGGACGGTTGGTCGAGTATGGGGCAGGCATCACTGGGATGCCAAGTGTCCAAAGAGGCTGCAGGCAGGCAACGACGTTGAGACCAGCAGGAACGGAGGATGGTTCCTTGAGTCCACAGCGAGGCAGAGACTCAAGGGGCTCCACCTTCATCGGTCTTGGGACTGCGTATGGATTTCAGGAGACACATGTCCTTGAGCATTGCCGGGGGTCCTGGGCTGGAGGTGGTTTTGTGTTCTATGGACCTGCAGGGGAGTTGGGCATGGATTCCCAAGAATGCTGAATCAGCCCATCTTTCTGGAAGCCCTGCTGGGGCTGCAGGGACAAGGCAATCTTGAAGAACAAGCCAATACAGTGCCCAAGAAGTCACAGGACCAGAAGCTTCTGGAGTCCTCCCAGAGCAAACAAAATGCCACTCCCCCCACCAAGTCCCCTTCTTCTGAAAACCATTGTCGCATTATGGCTGAGACCAGTGACCTGGAAAATGCTGCCTTTTTTTATGACACAGCTTGGGGTGAGAGGACAAGCCAGCTGGCATTTGGATTGGCACTGTCAGAACTTTCACGGATGGCATTTCATCATTTGACACTTGGTTTTGCAAATCTGCTCAGAAACGTGCCTGGTCCAAGCTGACAGCCTCGTCCAGGCATGCTCACACATCCAGGGTGATGCACTTACACTGACCGAGCACAGGGGCCGGGCCAGGGGTGTGTGGCTGGAACAGTGAGACAGGCCAGCAAGCCAGGGCCATCTCATGTTTCATGGGCCTGCATTCTGGGGCTTTCTACCTGTGCCCCAGGGACTGCGTTCAGTGACAGTGACATCCTGTGACAGTGACATCACTGGCAGGTTTGGAGCCAGGGCCCAGCTTGACCCCACCTCTGTGCCCTTGCCCAGGCTGTGTGACAGGACTGCTCCCTCCTCTGCTGAAGGACAGCGACAGTAGAGGGCCACCTCAGGCTGGGCAGGTGAGGCACCATCCATGGTACCTGGCAACTACCAAGCACACGGTGACACCACAAGCCGTGCACTCACAAGCGAGGGCCGGTGCCGTGGGTTTCTCCGTCACTCACAAGCAAGGGCCAGTGCCGCGGGTTTCTCCGTCACTCACAAGCGAGGGCCAGTGCCGCGGGTTTCTCCGTCACTCACAAGCGAGGGCCAGTGCCGCGGGTTTCTCCATGTCCTCTGAGGGCAGGAGTCTCAGGAGTGGAGAATGGACACTTCTCTGGGCTCCGCTACGCCACACGCCCTGAGTCTCCCACGCCCTCGCCCGCTGCTACCCTCCATACTCTTGGCCCATATTTAAATGCTGCCATCCTTGAGCTGAAGGGCAGGTGCCCTTCAGCAGAGTGCCCCTCCCTAGAAGGGCACCCCCTGGTCTCCTGCCCAAGCAAGGCCCGGGGTCTGACTGGGCACATGCTGCCTCCCCATGCTCGGCCCGGCTCCGCCAATCCTGGGTCCCAGCATTTCCGCGTAAAACAGGGCAGGAGGGAGTAGCCCCAGGGGGCCTCAGTGACGCCAGGCATAGGAACCAGAACGTGCCTTTCTATCTGGGTCAGGTGGGCACCCTTCCCAGGGCAGGGGGTGGCCCAGGGGGCTGCTTGTGGCCTGAGGCAAGCCCTAAGCCCCCTCTGCTCAGCTGCAGCACGTCACTGGAGGCACTGAAGAGCCTGCTGTCCACCACGGGGCACTGGCATGACTTTGCCCACCTGGAGCTGCAGGGATCCTGGGAGCTCTTCACCACCATCCACACCTACCCGAAGGGCGTGGGCCTCCTTGCCAGGTACGGTGGGGCCAGGGCAGGTCGAGGCAGCCTGCTTCAGGCCACGCCCATCCAGGGGACTGGGTATCTGGACTGCAGTGACAGGACACGGCCCCCTGCCCCCGGTCACAGGCACACGCTCAGAGCCTGTTGATGCAGTGTCTTCCCCCGGCCCTCACCCTGGCCTGTGACCTCCTAGGGAACAAGGGCTGTGCCTGCTTCTCTGTCTCCTGCATGTCCAACCCAAGCCTGGCACGCAGTGGGCAGCCAGTGGGTGGAAAGGAAGTGGGAACGTGCCTGCCACGTTGGGACCCTCCGGGATGCCAGCCCTGATGAGATGGGTGGGGGCAGGAGGGTGGGCTCTGAGCAGTGACCACCAGCCCAGGCCCACCCCTGCAGGGCCATGGTGCAGAACCACTGCAGGCAGATCCCAGCGGTGCTGCGTCAGCTGCTGCCCAGCCTGCAGAGCCCACAGGAGCGTGAGAGGAAGGTGGCCATCCTCATCCTCACCAAGGTAGGGATGCAGGCCAGCAGAGAGCACCTCAGATGTCTGAGCCTCCTTCTCCAGCCTCCTTGACACCCCAGCAGAACCCATGCCAGAGCTCACCCTGACTGGGGAGGCTGCCCAGACGGACCCCCTCGTACTCCTGCCTTCCCACTCCCAGCCCTTGGAGGGGGGCTGCACACTTTGGGGACCTGTCTCCCCACTCGGCCCTCCCTGGCACAATCCCTGCAGAGTTGCAGGGGCACTAGGTGCAGACTCAGGCAAGTCTAGGCTCCAACTTCAGCCCTGTCCTGCCTGTGGGACTCAGGGTAAAGCCAAAGGGGAATGGGTAGAAGCAGATGCCGCTGGGTGTGGCACACTTTGCAGCTGTGAGCTCAGGCAGGGGTGGGACTGGGGCGAGGAGGGTGCTGTTTCCGTAACTGACACTAGTAGGGGAACCCAAGCGAAAGCCTCATGCCAGCTCCCACCCACCAGCTGCCTAGGCCGCCCTCCATGGGCGCTCTACCCCCAGGTGCCCCACAAGCTCGGCTCTTGATAAAAGTGAGGCCTTGCCTCGCTGTGTGACCTTAGGCAAGGCCCTTTCCCTTTCTGGGGCTCAGTTTCCCCAGCTGTACATTGAGGGGTTGAACCAGGATACTTGTTCACCAAGATACCCAGAGGGTACTGGTCAGCCTCCCTCCCTGAAACTCCCACCGGACTCCGGTCCTAGAGCCCCACCCCTCAACACAGATGCAGGCGCCTAAAAAAGAGTGACCTGCCTGCCCTCCCGGGGGCCACCTCAGTTCCTCTACAGCCCTGTCCTGCTGGAGGTGCTTCCCAAACAAGCTGCCTTGACCGTGCTGGCACAAGGCCTCCACGACCCCAGCCCTGAGGTCCGCGTGTTGAGTCTGCAGGGCCTAAGCAACATCCTCTTCCACCCAGATAAGGTAAGGGCTGTCGGGCACTGTGGCTGGTGCACACGCAACCCCACAGAACAGCCGGTGCACCGGGTGTAGGCAAGGGCCACCGGGTTGGAATCCCGGCTCTGTCACTTCAGGTGGTGTGGCTTGGGACACCTGACTCCACCTCTCTGGGCCTGTTTCCTCATCTGTAGAATGGGGCAGGTTGTGGGAGGGGTCAAAGTGTCTATTCCCCGGACACAGAGTCTCCTCCACGCCCGAAAGAGAGAGGGGCCTTGTTGCAGACCTCCAGGTGGTCACCGTGAAGCCCACCAGATGGCATCCCAGGGCTCACCCAGAGAGGACAATGCCCTCTGAGAATCTTATGAATGGGTCTCCCCAACCCATTGCTGACTTCTCCAGTCCCAACCAATTCTACCTCATCACCATAATAACCCATATCCCATCATGGACAGCTGTGGGAGAGAAAGCCTGCGATGCCGCCTTTGGGGGATCTGCCCTTACCCCAGCTACAGCCCCCCACTTAACTGACATCGCCCTTGCTGTGGGGGCCCAGGGTACCATGCAGTGGTTAAGAGTCCAGGCCCTAGACCTATCCCCGCTCCAGCACCTTCTAGCTGGCAGGCTTTGTCAGCTCTCCAGGCCTCAGTGACCACATCTGTACAACGAGAGCAGTAATAATGCCTGCCTCCTGTGGTAGGCAGGTCATGAGTGCCATGCAGAGACCGGTCCCTGGCACGTGGTCAGCCCTAGGGGCACCAGCTGGCAGCAGCAGCAAACTTCCTGCCTGGCTGACTCTGCACCCTGAAAATGCTGAGTTAGAGGCAGAAATTTTCTCACCTGATCAGGAAGTGTGGAGCCTCAGCCTCCTCTCATCCACCCCAGGGCTGCATTAAGACCCCAGAGGGAAGGCGACATGCCCAGCCCCCATTTCTGTTGCTGTTGGAGGAGGCTGTTATGAACATAAATATTTTCAGGGCTTGTGGGAGAAAACTGTCATCATGGGAAGGCAGCAGAAGGGGTCGTTTCCAAAGAGATCCCAAAGTCATTTGCCTAGCAGACTAGTTCACTGTGATTCTGTTCCAACCACAGGCCTCCACATGGTTAACAAGACTGACTTCCATCAGGGTCACAGTTGGCAAAGCTCTTTGCATTGTGCGTGATGCATAGTAGGTGCTTAATGGAAGATGGAGACTAGATAGCACTTCCTCAATGATCTGTTCATCTCTCCATCCTTCATCCATCCACCCACCCACCCATTCATCCAGCTATTCACCTACCCATCCATTCATCTCTCCATCCATGCTTCCATCCATCCACCCACCCATTCATCTTCCCATCTATCCACTGATCCCTCCATCCATCCATCCACCCACCCATCCATCTACCCATTCATCCCTCCACCCATCCATCCATCCATCTACTCACCCATTCATCCAGCTATTCACCTACCCATCCATTCATCTCTCCATCCATGCCTCCATCCATCCAACCACCCATCCAACTATTCACCTACCTATCCATCCACTCACCCATGCATCCCTCCACCCATGCCTCCATCCATCCACCCACCCATTCATTCCTCCATTCATCCCTCCATTCAACCATCGACCCACCCATTCATCTCTACCCATGGCTCCATCCATCTACTCACTCATTCACCCGTCCATTCATCCATCCATAGATCCCCCCGTCCACCCACATATCCCTCCACCCACCCACTTGTTCCTTGGGTCCTTCATCTGTGACCCATTCTTGCATTATTTATTTTGTTCATTCTTTTTATGTCTATTCATTCACCCAGTTATTCACGTTTGCTCCCTCATTCATTCATTCAGTGTTCGGTTATCTGTGCACCAAATGTTCTCTCAGGCAGGGAAATGATCAGTAGGAAGTTTCCATGTGCCTCCTCTGTACCCTGCACTGAATACAGGGAATACAGAAAGGCAAAGAAGGGCCCTGCTAGATCAGGAGGACCAGGTCCAGAGAAGAGGGAATGGTTCCCCGCCTGGCATCAGGTGGGATATGGGCAAGCAGCCACAGCAGACCAGAGGAGACAGGCCCCGAGAGCACTGCCAGCCAGGGAGGCCTGCCGGCTTGGGGATGGGAAGGCTGAACCAGGTGTGGCTGGGGCAGGCCACCCCACTCCACTCTGAGTGGAAATACGCCATGCTATGCATTTTTCTTTTCTTTTCTCACCATTTCCATTACAATTTCATTCTGTTGTCCTGCTCTGACCTGGCCAGAACCCTGGTCTTCGAACACTGGCTGCAAACATAGATGCTCAGAAAGTGTAACTGTTGAATGACTCACTTGCTGAAAATGAATTTAATATTTTCAAAGCAAACAGCTAAGAAAGCCAACAAAGCTGCTTTAAACTTGTTTAAAAGTTGTAAAAATCACCCTGGTTTGCACCCAAGTCACTGCTAAGGGGCCCAATGGCAGGAAACATCCATTGGTGGGCACACTGCTTTCTGACCATTCATCCCGATAACTCAGGAAATCACTGCAAACACGCAATCAAGTGGAGAAGACGGAACTGGCTGAAAATTAATTAAAAAAAAAAAAAAAAGACAAGTCGAATGTGTTGGCTCACACCTATAATCCCAGCACTTTGGGAGGCCAAGGCAGGTGGATTGCTCAACCCCAGGAGTTTGAGACCAGCCTAGGCAACATAGTGAGACCCCATCTCCACCCAAAAAAAAAAAATAGCCAGGTGTGGTGGCACGCACCTGTAGACCCAGCTACTCAGGAGGTTATGTTGGGAGGATTGCTTGAGCCTGGGAGGTCAAGGCTGCAGTAAGCTATGGTCACACCACTGTACTCCAGCCTGGGTGACAGTGTGAGACCCTGTCTCAAAAAAGAAAAGAGGCCACCCTGTCCAGACCACGCAGCTCCTGGTGGACAAAGCCCAGTTAGGGGCACAGCTCCCCACGGCGGGCAGGGCCAGGCCAGGACCCACAGCTCCCCACGGCGGGCAGGGCCAGGCCGGGACCCACAGCTCCCCACGGCGGGCAGGGCCAGGCCGGGACCCACAGCTCCCCACGGCGGGCAGGGCCAGGCCGGGACCCACAGCTCCCCACGGCGGGCAGGGCCAGGCCGGGACCCACAGCTCCCCACGGCGGGCAGGGCCAGGCCGGGACCCACAGCTCCCCATGGCGGGCAGGGCCAGGCCGGGACCCACAGCTCCCCACGGCGGGCAGGGCCAGGCCGGGACCCACAGCTCCCCATGGCGGGAAGGGCCAGGCCGGGACCCACAGCTCTGAATCACCACCCCCCACCCCCCCACCCAGTGCAGATGGGGTGAGGGGGTCAAGTGGGAGAACGAGGCGGGGGCATGGGGCCAGCGGGTCCTAGTGCTCTCCGCCCACCAGCCGCCACCACCCCCAGGGAAGCCTGCTCCAGGGACAGCTGCGGCCCTTGCTCGACGGCTTCTTCCAGAGCAGCGACCAGGTGATCGTGTGCATCATGGGCACCGTGTCAGACACGCTGCACCGCCTGGGCGCGCAGGGCACAGGGAGTCAGAGCCTCGGCGTTGCCATCAGCACACGCTCCTTCTTTAATGACGTGAGCACTGGGGCAGGGCGGGGCTACCTCCTGCTCACGCCCTCCAGGACCCTCCTCCCAACCCAGCTCCCTTCCTCTGCCAAAGGGGGAACCCCAAGCTGCAAGCAGGGAGGCCCAGGCCCTGGGGAGCTGCCCGCTTGTGGCCCTCGGTTGAGGTGGGCGCTGAGCAGGTGGGCTGGGTGGGCCCCTGGCGCTCACCCCTTCTCCACAGGGCTGAACTAGTTCTCACGTTCAGTCTCCAAGTGCAGTGGTCTCCGGCCCCACGACAGCCTACCCAGATTTGCTTTCTGACATGTCAGCACGGTTAGCGTGGCTGTTTTTCCTTCACTGGGGAATCTGGGGGATAGGCGCCCCTCAAATGCATTCATGAGGCCTGGGCTGCCAGGATGCAGTTGTGGGTAGAAGGGAGATGTGATTCTTACATCCTCAGGGACACCAGAGAGCCCTGTGTGAGGGGGGAGCCCCAGCCCTTCCCTTCCCCGGGAGCCGAGAGCCTGGGTGAAGGAATCCTGCAGAAAGAACTGAGTTGTACCCCTACAAGGTGTGGGGTCCCAACTTGGACCAAAGCTGGGACCCCTGGACAGGTCTGGCCGTGCCTCTGAGCCTCTGCCTTGCAGGAGCGGGACGGGATTCGGGCGGCAGCCATGGCACTGTTCGGGGACCTGGTGGCGGCCATGGCAGACAGGGAGCTGAGCGGCCTGCGGACCCAGGTGCACCAGAGCATGGTGCCCCTGCTCCTACACCTGAAGGACCAATGCCCAGCTGTCGCCACGGTCAGTGCCCACCCCAGGAAAGGCAGGTGATAGGCCTTCACCTTGGCCAGGGCTGGGACCCACAGGAGGCCAGGGTACGGGGCAGACGGATGGCAGCAGCACTGCCTGAGAGTTGGGGGAGCTCCCACGGGGCAGCAAGTGGCGGGCAGAGGGTCTGGCCATCTGCACTGGTTTCTGTGACCACAGTTGGCCTGCCCGCTCCCCCACTGCGCACACGCATGCGAGCGAGACTTGCCGTCGATGCGGCAGGACCCGGTCTTTTCTGCTCACTGCTGTGCCCCCAGTCCCTGTAACGGGGCAGGGGGTCCAGCAGCTCACAGAGCTTGTGTGAATATGGACTGTGCCCTGCCTGCCGTGGCAGCACATGCCCTGTGCACAGCCCACGAAGTCAGAGCTTGGCCTCGCGGGTCTCCCTGCCATGGGGAAAAGGATACGGGGCAACCGTGGAAGGGGCAGGGCCAGGGCCGCGGGCAGACCAGCCTGGGCTCCGGGGGGCCAGGTGCTGTTGCCAGGGTCGGGGAGGCTTGCCGAGGGGCACAAGCAGGACAGAACCAGGGAACACCCGCACAGCAGGCTGCCTCCAGTGCCCATGGAGGCCTGTGGCCTCTAGGGGAAAGGGCTCAGACATAGGCGGTGGGTGACCCTCCACGCCTGTCCCTGCAGCAGGCCAAGTTCACCTTCTACCGCTGTGCTGTGCTGCTCCGCTGGCGGCTACTGCACACCCTCTTCTGCACGCTGGCCTGGGAGAGGGGCCTCAGCGCCCGCCACTTCCTCTGGACCTGCCTGGTGAGAGGCCTGGGATCGGTGGGGAGGAACAGGGCCAGGGAGTGGGGGAGACCAGGCTTGCGGCTCCCCCATTCACTCCCGTCTCACACACAGCTGCTATAGCAGCTCCAGGGGCTGGGCAAGGCAAACTGGGGCTGGAGGACCCTGGTATGCCCAGGGCCCCCAGCCCGTCCCAGCCAGGTGTGCTCTCCTCCGGCCAGATGACCCGCAGCCAGGAGGAATTCAGCATCCACTTGTCACAGGCCCTCAGCTACCTGCACAGCCACTCCTGCCACATCAAGACCTGGGTGACACTCTTCATAGGTGGGAGGGCGAGGCCGGGCTTAAAGACCCCCAGGCCTGCCCCCACCCAAGCACCCTTGACCCTCCCTGACTCACCACCCACAAGAGAGGAAAGGGGGTGGATGAGGAGGAGCTTGGGGCTGAAGAGGGGCAGGGGTGGGCTACAGCCCCCCAGGAGACAGGGAGCCCTGAGCCACCAGCTGCCCGTCTGTTACACAGGCCACACCATCTGCTACCACCCCCAGGCCGTGTTCCAGATGCTGAATGCTGTGGACACCAACCTGCTGTTCCGCAGTAAGCAGCCCTCCCTCCAGAGCTCCCGCAGCCCGCACCCTCCCACCCCTGCCCAAGCACTCTTAAGACCCACTGCACAGACAGCAAGACTGAGGCCCCAGAAGGGAACCCCCTCCTGCCCCCCCTACCCAGCATCAGCATCAGGACAAAGACACAGGCCTCCTGGGCAGCACCCAGCCGCCATCCCACCTTCATGTCTGGAGGCTGAGGTTGGCCCTTCCCCTCCCCAGGCCCCCATCAGGGCACCTGGGGCCTAAGGCTCACACTCACTCCACAGCTGCCTCATGGCACCAACAGAACAAGGGGCTGGGGAATGGGGGTGGTGGGTTAGTGGTGGAGGGAAGCATCCCAGGCCTGGAGTCACAGGAGGTGGGGTCTGAGCTGGCCCCACCCACCACCCACCCCACCCCCCACCCCCCCAACACCTGGGCTGGAGTAAAGGGGCTGCTCCTGCGCTGGGGTCACCTCTGACCTGCTCCTCCTCTTCTGGAGCTTTTGAACATCTCAGAAGTGACCCTGAGCCCAGCATCCGGGAATTCGCCACCAGCCAGCTCTCCTTCCTCCAGAAGGTGTCGGCCAGACCCAAGCAGTGACCTCCAGCCATCCTCCCCCACCCACCGCCTTCCCCTCCCGTGTCCACCTGGTCAGCCCTGCCCCATCCGCCCCCCACAGAGCTTGGTTGCATAACGTTTTTCCATTTGAAAGAAAGATCTAGATTCAACAAAAGAAGCGTTATGCGTGTCAGCTCCCTGCCCACCACAGGCCCCTCTGCTGTGACCAAGCCAAGCCCCAGGAGACACTGGCAGGACTTGGGGACAAACTCAGGGTCAGGCCCAGGGGACAGAGACAAACTATGAAGTCTGTGAAGTGCCCTGCAGGTGGATACCCGTCCACTCCTGGAGACAGGGTCACCTTGACTGGGGCCTGAGCCCAAGCCACAGCCTGCCAGGGTCCCAGGGTCCTGGGGGCTGGGGCTGGGCAGGCACTCAAATTGAGGGCAGCCTCCGCCCAGGGTGGCCACTCAATCTTCAGTTGTCTCCATCTTGGCGCGCCACAGTGGCTGGGGGCTGACGGTCGGACGGGGTCCCCTCAGTCGGGACCCCCAGCCTCGGGCCCCCAGCGTCTCCCTCCACCCCCACCAACATCCTCCTCAGTCCATTCAGGGCTAGCAGCAGAACCAGCCAGGCCCACCCTGGACACACTGTCGCCTGAAGCAGGAGTCTTGGTTCTCTGAGCCTCAGCTGTTCCATCTGTAAAATGGGCAGTAAGACCTTTCTCCCGAGACCCTTGGAGGGATGAGTCCAGAGGCAGGTACCCTGGACTCCCAGAGAGCCACCAGGGGACCTGCCCAACCTTCGGCCTCGGCCTGGGTTTCCGCCTGGCCTGGGGTCCACACAGCTCCTGGAGAGCCCCTCCCTGCAGAGCTCTGCCTGGGGCCCCATCCCATGCTGCATCTGTCTCGGGATCCTGCCAGGCCAGCCACCATCCCACCAATGGGATAATCCAGACTGCACCCCTTTTCCCCTCCTGGCCAGCGCGGACCCCCACTCCACACTCAGCTCAGGCAGTCCTTCCACCTGGGGCATCTCCCCCACCTCCCGACGTGGTACTCTGCACTGTGCCCCCCCCAGGCCCCGCCTCCATGCCCCTGTCCCCCTGCCCCCTAACAAGGTGGAGCACACCAAGGCCCCACCTCCATGCCCCCATTTCTCCTGCCCCACGAGGTAGAGCACACCAAGGCCCCACCTCCATGCCCCCATTTCCCCTGCCCCCCAAGGTGGAGCACGCCAAGGCCCCGCCTCCATGCCCCCCATTCCCCCGTCCCCCCGGCAAGGTGGAGCACCCTGAGGCCCTGCCTCCATGCACCCTGTCCCTCAGTCCCCCCAAGGTGCAGCACCCCAAGGCCCCACCTCCATGCCCCCTGTCCCCGCCACCCCCCGAGGTGGAGCACCCCTAGCTGTAACTGGGAGGCTTACCAGCCTGTCTTCCCCCCAACCCTGCTAGACTGTGAGCCTCTTGGGGCAGGGACATGGCTACACAGGGCCAGCAGAGGTGACCCCAAAACTTGGCTGGTGGATTGAAAAAATACAGCAAACTTCACCCAACATGCATTGGATTTACTTGAGTTCCAAATGTGTTTGAGGAAAGGAGAGAATAACCATCCGGGACAGCTGTTGCCCTTTCTCCACACAGGAGCTGGGGGAGCCAGGTCTGCGGCCCCCTTAGCCATCTGTCGGTCTTGGGGGCAGGGCTGCCTGAGAAGGGGCTTTTGGGGTTTCCACATCTCCCCATCTTGTCCACTGACCTCCTCCAGCACCTGCCCCAGTCGCTCCTTGCGGGAACCTCCTGGGGCCCCAGGACGGAGACCACTCCCAGGCTCTCCACACCCTGGAGCCAGCCCTAGGCCCACCTTCCTCCCCGCTGGGGCCATGCCCTCCATGCACCCCGGCCCAGGGTGGGGCCAGCCCCCAACACAGACACTGCACCCAGGAACACATGAGCATCTGGTCCACGCCCTCCGGCGGGCCCTGGTCCAGGCCTCTCACATCCAGCCCCAGGTGCCCAGGTGGCACCCTCCCTCCCTGGGCTGATGGATGGTGACTTCCTCCACCCAAGCCACCACCTGCCCCCTTCTCTGCGCCTCGGAGCCGGAAATGTGGACACCTGGTTTGGGCAGCACAGGGACCAACCAGCCGGACACAGGCCCTGAGAAGCTGCCAAATGAATCCCAGCCCATCCTGCAGAGGACAGTGCTGGTGACCTGCCTCGCCTTCCAATGTCACAGTCCCAAGAACCGTCAACACGGCCACCCTGGCCAAGGCAGGGCTCCCACCTCGGTATCAGGACAGGACAGGGCAGGCTGGCCCCTGGGTCGGGGTGCAAGGACCCAGAGCGGCCACCAGAGGGCAGCGCAAGAGCACGCGGGAGCCCCATCCTGGGCACCAGCCCAGGATCCAGACAGCAGCCTCTGGGGCCCCCAGGCCACCAGCCCGCCCCGCCTGACGCTGTAGCCCACTCCACACACACGGCCACGGCTCCTGTTTTATTGCCTTCGGGTGTCCGGAGCACCTGACTGCCCCGGGGTCTAATAATTTAAGGTGCCGAGAACAGGTCAGGACAAGGGGTCGCAAAAGAGGGGCTGGGGGCCCAGTGGTTACAAAATATACCCCCACCCCACAACAAACAGGCTAGAGGAGACCAGCCTGGCTGGTGTGGGAGGGGGCGGGCAGAGGGCGCCCGACCCACCTCAGAGAGACAGAGCCACGGCCAGCGCCGCCAGAGGGAGTGGCGGAGACAGGAGAAAGGGCCCAGAGGCCACCCAGGGCCCGAGGGGCTCCTCGCTCCTCGGACACAAGTGCACGGAGGTGTCGGGGAGGAAAAGGCGATGTGGGGCCAGCCAAGGCCTGGAGCCCCTGCTGGGCTGGGCAGAGCAGGGCTGGGCAGGGCCTCCAGGTCCAGCCAAGGTCCTGACCTACATGACGACCAGGCCCAGCCAAGGTCCTGAGCTACATAACGCAGCACCGGGTCTTGTGCGTGTGTGGGTCTTTGAACCGCAGCCTCTGTTTGGGCCGGTATTTCTCCAGGTAGGTGAGCTGCTTGCTGTTGATGGCTCCGCGGCGCTTCCTGGGAAGAGGGGAACAGGAACAGAGATCATCCAAGGACCTGGCTCGGCCATCTCACCTGCCCCAGGGAGCTGGAATCTGAGAGTGCAGTGGGCTGGAGTAAGGCCTTGAGGCTGGCCAAGCCCCTCCTGTCCCAGGGCCTTGGCACGGCTGCTCCCAGAGTCACAGTCACCCTTTCCTGGCCCCCTGCAGCTCACCCCTGCTTGCCTTCCAAACTCACCAAAGCGCCACCTCCTCCAGGCTGACTCTGGGCTCCCTACGGCCCCCAGGCTTCCCTAGCTCGGTAGGACCCACCCCAAGGCCATGAGCAGACAACAAGGGTGGTGCCTGGGCACCTCCACCATCCAGGAAGGGGGGCCTGTGAGTAAGGGAGGGGCTGAGCCCAGAATTCCAGCCCAGCTGCGCGACCTTCCCTTACAACAGGGACCTGGGCTGCATGCTCACCCTGTCCCCACCATCCCCACCACCTGGTCCTTACAGCGGGGACCTGGGCTATGCGCTCACCCTGTCCCCGCCACCTGGTCCTTACAGCGGGGACGTGGGCTGTGCGCTTACCCTGTCCCCGCCACCGGGTCCTTACAGCGGGGACCTGGACTGTGTGCTCACCCTGTCCCCGCCACCGGGTCCTTACAGCGGGGACCCGGACTGTGTGCTCACCCTGTCCCCACCATCCCCACCACCTGGTCCTTACAGCGGGGACCTGGGCTATGCGCTCACCCTGTCCCCGCCACCTGGTCCTTACAGCGGGGACCCGGACTGTGTGCTCACCCTGTCCCCGCCACCTGGTCCTTACAGCGGAAACCTGGGCTGTACGCTCACCCTGTCCCCGCCACCTGGTCCTTACAGCGGGGACCCGGACTGTGCGCTCACCCTGTCCCCGCCACCTGGTCCTTACAGCGGGGACCCAGACTGTGCGCTCACCCTGTCCCCGCCACCTGGTCCTTACAGCGGGGACGTGGGCTGTGCGCTCACCCTGTCCCCGCCACCAGGTCCTTACAGCGGGGACCCGGACTGTGCGCTCACCCTGTCCCCGCCACCTGGTCCTTACAGCGGGGACCCGGACTGTGCGCTCACCCTGTCCCCGCCACCTGGTCCTTACAGCGGGGACCCGGACTGTGCGCTCACCCTGTCCCCGCCACCTGGTCCTTACAGCGGGGACCCGGACTGTGCGCTCACCCTGTCCCCGCCACCTGGTCCTTACAGCGGGGACCCGGACTGTGCGCTCACCCTGTCCCCGCCACCTGGTCCTTACAGCGGGGACTGGACTGTGTGCTCACCCTGTCCCCGCCACCTGGTCCTTACAGCGGGGACGTGGGCTGTGCGCTTACCCTGTCCCCGCCACCGGGTCCTTACAGCAGAAACCTGGGCTGTACACTCACCCTGCTCCCGCCACCTGGTCCTTACAGCAGGGACCTGGGCTATGTGCTCACCCTGCCCCGCCACCTGGTCCTTGACCACATGTACCTGGCTGGGGTGAACAGGAAGACTTCCTGGAGAGGATGCTGCAGCCACACCTGAGAGGCCCTGAGGTGACAGGCGTTGAGGGGCGGGGGCTGCCCACCCAGCGCCTCTGGAGGCTCATCCATCCCCACCTGCCATGACCTCAGGCGTGGCCACAGGCTGGCCCTGGCCAAGGAAGTGGGAGCAGCAGTAGCGCGAGGAGTCTCTGCCCAGCAAAGCTGCAGGTGCCCCGTGTGGCTCCACCGTGCTCGTTTCCTCGCCCAGCAGCCGGCACACTGGGGAAGGCGCAGCCCTCAGCCACGCCTCCGGGTAGGGCCCCCACCAACAGACACGCAACAGGGGCAAGAAACGCCCGTGCTGTTCTGAGTCGTTGGGGTTCAGGCCTGGCTGTTTCCGCAGCATGGCCCAACCTGTCCTGACCAGCGCAGCCTCAGGTGCGGGGAGCCACACAGCAAAAGCCACAAGGGAGAGACAAGCCCTTGCTCGGTGAGACGTGGGGTGGGGAGAGAACCCGGGGAAGGTGTGCACCCGCATGTGTGAGAGTGCATGTCATGTATGAGTGCACACGTGTGTACATGCCTGAGTGCATCCATGTGTGTCCATGTGTGCAAATACCCGCTTGTCTGTATGTGCCTGTGTTCACACACCTGCCTGTGAGTGTGTGCCTGCGTATGCCTGGGTCTGTGTGGGCACACATGTGCTTGTGAATGTGTGCCTGTATGACCCCCATGCGTGTCTGTGTGTGAGCGTGCACATCCCATGGTCCCCAGGGAGACCTGAGCACCTGCAGGCCACGCTCTCGCACAGACCCACAGGGCGGGCCACGCTCTCGCAGACCCACAGGGCGGGCCACACTCTCACACAGACCCACAGGGCCAGCTGGCATGGCTGGGAACAAGCCTGCCTCTGGGAGGAAGAGATGGCCCCACCAGCCAAGCCTGTCCGAGGAGTACCACAGGTGTGTCACACTCACGGGCACACACATGGTGGGCTGGGCAGGGGCAGGCTTCAGGTGCCGCATCCGTTCCTCCAGAGTTGGCCCTGCCATCCCGGCCAGACTCCCCCAGGACCCCCTGGGCAGTGGGCAGATGGCAGCCCTCCCCAGGGAGGCCACCAAGTGACAGGGATGGGGCAGGCGAGCTGGCCTAGAAGCCTCTAAGGAGGGCGGGGAGGGGCTGAGCTGGAGAGCTCGGGGTTGGGGGGAGGGGTGGTGAGCAGCTAGACTCAGAGTAGTCCTGAGACACTAGCCCACTGTCAGCGTCCCTGGGGGTGGACACGGTGTGGTGTGGGGTTTCAGGTTCTAGTTTTTCATGGAGGGACTGAACTGGCTGGCTCTGGGGGTCCTTCCACCCCCGTCAGGATGGCTGCGACAGAAGGAGCTCTGTCTGTGGAGGGCGGGCAGGACGGCGTGGCGGGTGGCCTCGCTGTGTCCCTGTGTGGCTGCATGGTCACTCGGGGGCTGCTGTCCCCACCCATCAGAAACACCTCAGGCTTCCCCGTTTCTGCAGCAAGGCCCAGCTTGTGCTGATCGACGCAGCCTCAGAGCGACGGAACCACACAGCCAATGCCGCCACCCTTCGTGGGCAGCCGGATCTCCCCTCCCCCAGCGCTCACAGCCCACCCCACCACCGCGGCCACTCACTGGCGGATGAACTGGATGGCGTCCTCGTACTTCATCCCGCTCTCAATAAGGGCCAGCGCCACAAGGACTGGAGCCCTGGGGGCAAACAGCAGGGCGGGGGTCATCGGAGCCTGCGCACCCCTGTCCCCTTGGCAGGGCACCTGCTGAAGATGCAGGGCACGGGGGCCCAAGGGGCCCAGAATCCCCCCTGCCTGAAGCTCCCCCATGGAGGCCACAGCCTCACAGCCCAGCCTGAGCACTGGGTCTAAATCCTGGCTCCCTCCTAGGCAACCTCTCTGTGATCTGCTGGGGGAGGGTTAAATAAGAGCTGGCGGGTGAAGTGCTAAGAGCCGGATCCATGCCTGCTATCAACTCTGCTCGCCTGGGTCTCCCTCTGCAGATGGGGGTGTCCCACTGGTCATGTCATCCGATCCCAGCTGCCATTCTTCCTCCCGTTCTCCCAGCAGGGAGTCTGAGGCCCCAGCTGTGTGTGGGGGGATCTTTGTGTCTGGAGAGGGGGACGGCAGCCCTTTCCTACACAAGATGTCAGGATGGTTTCAACCATAGCAGGAAGAAGTTGGGTTAGACTTTGGGAAGCACTTCCTCTCTGTGATGCTGGGAGAGGACCAGTCTGGGAGCCCCAGCACTAGGGGCATGGGCCTCCTGGGAAGGTCGCGTGGACGTGTGTTCAAGACCCACATCCAAAAGCGAGGCTGTCAGACCACGAGATGCCCAACCACCTGACATGGCGAGCCCTACCCCGCCCCGACACTCACCGGCCCAGGCCCGCCACGCAGTGCACAGCCACGCAGCTGCCGGGGGCCTCACAGAACTTGGCCTTCACCAGGCTCAGCCAGTCTTCCACTACCTTGCCGGGCGGGGGCGCCCCATCGTCAAACGGCCAGTCCTACGGAGGGAAGCAGACATGAGGACCCCCGGCTGAGGGAGGGTAGAGAGGCGGCTCTGGGGCTCAGGCGAGGAAAGGGAGCTCTGAGAGGCAGAGGGTGCCAGGAGCCCACTAGGGTGGGGGCAGCAGACCCAGAGGGCACACAGGAGGGGCACAGCTTGCCTATGGGCACCCCATGGTGAGTGCTTCAGACTCCTCATCATTCCCTGTACACTGCAGCTATCCCCTCCTCCAGGAAGCCTTCCTGGACCACCCCACCCCTTTCTGAATAGAGCCTGCTCCAGAGTCGCACAAATCCTAATCCCCACACCTGTCAGCCCGAGCTCTGGTTCTGGGGTCACAATCCCTCACGCCTGTGTGCCGGTGGCAGCCTGAGAGGTTTTGGGTCGGCTGGTGCAAAGGGTCTCATCCCCTGTGCTGGCATGCAAAGATGGCTGGCACATGCCACACACAGCCCAGGTGCCAGGAAGGACTGAAGACAGGGCTGTGGGGCGAGACAGGGCCCACATTTCTGAGGGCAGGACTCGAAACAGGCGGTTCCACCGGGCCCCGGCCCATTGCTCCTGGGGGTTAATTTGGTCTTGGAAGATGACCTGTGCTTCCCACTGTCCCGTCCCCCAGCGCCCTAGATCGGTGGGCAACGTGAGTCTTCCTAGGGGAGGGCCCGGGCCAGGGCGCTGCAGTAGGAGTGGACACGTTTCAGTCTTGGGAAGGCGGGTTCATGCAGGGACTGTGCCAGGCATGGGGCTGTCTGGTACCAGGGAGAGCCCGCTGGGCCCACTGAGGCAGACACACAGCCCTCGGGGGCATCTCACCCCTCCCCAGCCTCCAGGCAGGGCAACTCCTAGAGACAACCGGTGTCACGGCTACTTACGTCTGACCCCAATCCCTCCCGCTGCTGTGGAAGGGGAGGGAGGGTGTGGGCGCACCCCGTGCGAGAAGCGGGGACATGCCTTTGCCTCCCATTCTTCCAAGCAGCCTCGCTTTGAGGTGAGGAACCCAAGGCTCGGAGTGACCTGCAGGGTCGCAAGGCTGGGGAGGGCAGAGGCGGGACGCAGCCCAAGGCCTGTCTGACCCCAAACCGCCAGCGCTGCCACCATTCCAAACCGCCAAGCTGAGGTCACAAAACTGCAACCCCAGCCAAAAGCAGAGTCCTGGGATGAAAAGCAGTGACTGAGGGGTGCTCCGCACTGAGGAGACTGAGGCCCAGGCGCAGCTGGGCAGGCCTGCACCAGGGGGGCAGTCGTCCACCGGGCCGGGGGTGGACCCCCCTGGGGCTGGCTCTGGGCCTGCAGCTGCTGTGGCCCACCCCCCCAAGGATATCGCAGCAGAACCGCCCCACCCCCCGCCCAGACCTGGGTCCCCAGGGCCAAAGAAGCCGAGGAAACTGCCCAAGGGCCCTCCCCAGGAGCCTGCTGCCTGGCAACAGGGCCCCAGCCGCCCAGGCAGCAAGACTGAGATGCACCCAAGACAGGCCCAGAGGAGGGCCTGAGACAGGCAGAGGAGCCCACCCGCCACCTTGGCCGATGCACCAAGCATGTGCCACCCCTGCCTGGCGAACCGTGCTGGCCCACCCTAGAGACAGAAAGACGGGTGCGCAAGGGTGACTTTCTTGAGGTCACACGGCCCAACACCCTGGCCTTCCCTTGATGTACCCAGACACACACGTGGCCCAGGCACAGACATGCCCAGGGCTGCCACAGGAGGGGCACCAAACCCTCTGCGCAGGCCCGGAGCCCCCCGCCCCACCCTCCCCCGGTGGCAGCAGTGACTAGGGTCCCCGTGGCGCGCGCCTCACCACAACGGTGATGCCATCCTTCTCCAGCGGCGTTTTGTCATAGGTCACTTCACACACACGCACCACAGTGGTAGCCCCGTACTTCTTCAGGTCCTGGGGGTGGGAGGACGGAGGAGGCAGGGCTGGGCTGGGGCTGCAGGGCTCAGGGGGCAGGACCCACTCACCAGGGCTCCCAGGGCACAGCTGTGTCCCCCACAGTCACCCAGGACTTGGACATGTCCCCTCAGACCTCTCGGGGTGGAGCCCTGTCCCCTCAGTCCCCTGGGGCAGGGTCATGGCCCCTGAAGCCCCCAGGGAAGGGCATGTCACCCTCCAGCCAGGCAGACCCTGATGCAGTGAGGTCCACCAAGAGTGGACTTCAGGCTCCACTACTGGTCGAGGTAGTGTCTGGCTGTCGAAGAGCCTGTCCTAGGTCCCTTGGGCCACCCAGCAGAGGCAAAGGTGTCCCCACCTACATTCACGGTAACTGGCAGCTGGGACCCCAGCTGCCCAGCACACCACTCCCTCCTCTGGGGTGCTCAGGACCCCAGATCTACCAGCAAGGACATTTCTTCCAGAAAAGCTACTGGGTCCCCACAGCAGGAACTGGACTCCCCAGCCCACGTGTGAGCCCCTGCATCCGAACAGCGACCCCAGCTGAGCCGCAGGGATGGGTCCAGTTTTTAGGGTCTAAGAGGGGCGGGCATCAGCTGGGGCGCCTCAGAGCAGGGAGGGTGGGCACCGCTCAGATGGCAGCCAGGAGGAAGCTGGGCCCTGTACGCCAGCAGGGAAGCCCCACACGACCAGGGAAAAGGTGGTGGTAGTTCACAGCCAGGCCGATAGTTATACCCCCACTGCGGAGGATCCACTCCACAGGGGTCACGTGCGGGGGCTGTTCCCACCCCACCTGCTCTCGTAGCTATTTTGGGAGGGGTGAGGAATCAGCTGATGGGTCTTGCTGGTCACGGGACAGGGACCTGGAACACAGAGAGGCCAGCACCCAACTATCTGAGAATGCAGGGAGCAGGCAGGGTGCTGGGCTCTGTGGCCATGGGGTACCTCAGAGGCCCTCTGCACCCTCAGCAGAGGGAATGGCCACCCAGCCCACGGCTCAGCCCTGGCCCTGGTCACAGGCTGAGCCCTTCCTGATCCTGGTCACACACTGAGCCCTGATCCTGGTCACGTCCTGAGCCTTGATAGTCACACACCTCTGAGCCCTAATCCTGATCACGTGCTGAGCCCCCAACCCTGGTCACACATTGAGCCCTAATCCTGGTCACATACCGAGCCTTGATCTGGGTCACACACTGAGCCCTGATCCTGGTCAGACACTAAGCGTTAACCCTGGTCACAGGATGAGCCCTCCCTAACCCTGCTCACCTACTAAGCCTCAATCCTGGTCACACACTGAACCCTGATCTTGGACACACACTGAGCTTCGACCCTGGTCACATACTGAGCCCTGATCCCAGACACACACCAAACCCTGGCCCTGGTCACACACTAAGCCCTGATCCTGGTCAAACACTGAGCCCCAACCTTGGTCACATACTGAGCGCTAATCCTGGACACACACTGAGTCCCAACCTTGGTCACATACTGAGCCCTGATCCTGGACACACACTGAGCCTCAACCCTGGTCACACATTGAGCCCTGATCCCAGACACACACCGAACCCTGACCCTGGTCACACAGAGCCCTGATCCTGGTCAAACAGTGAGCCCCAACCTTGGTCACACACTGAGACCTGACCTTGGTTACAGACTTAACCCTGATCCCAGTCATATTCTGAGGCCTCACCCTGGCCACTCACCGTGCTGTTCTCGCCAATCTTTCTGTAGATGCTGCTGTTATCTCAGGGGTCTCAGCTGCGAGAGGGACAGCCATCTTCTGTAGGGCACCTGGCTCAGTGTCCAGGGTCCAGGCTCCCTGATGGCAAGGTGCCCAATGCCTCCTGCTGCTCTACAGTTCTTAATGCCCTCTCACGCCCAAATCTGTTTCATTATGACAAGACCATGATGGCTTATCTCATGTCACAGGGGAAAGGACTCAGCCATAAATGACCCTGCACACAGCTGCAGCCTCTCACACAGCCTGGCACAGTCAGAGGCTCTGTCAACGGCCCCGCACACAACTGCAGACGCTGCAAACGGCCCCAGGCCTGCAAACAGCAGGGCGTTCTGCAGAGGCCAGGCTCCTCCAGGAGGCCATGCAGGTCGCTCCAGACTCCACTCCCAAGAAAGCTTCTGTAAACGCATCTCGTCCCATCTGCCAGGGTTGCCAGCGGCAGGTATCTCTGCTGCCTCTCCAGGGCACAGTGGTCCCTCCCTCCTGTGGTCAGCGCTGACCCTTGCTCAGTCCCTCCTCACACAGAGATCTGGGCCCTGAAGCCCCTAGTCCAGCCTGGTCTAACCTGAGGCCTCATCCAGAGCCCAGCAACATCTGGGACAGCAAAGGGCTCGGGAGGGCCCCAGCCCAGGCCACGGCTGAGCACGCACAGCCTGGTCCATGTATCCCCCTGCCTCACCCCCTGCCTCTATCCACACAGCGTGGAGTCCCTCCTATCACACGCCAGCCCCCTGCAGGCCTCCCAGGGGACCCCGTTGATCCCCCAACACCCTCAACCCCAACCCCCGGGGCACCCCCATCTCCCTCCTCCAGGATCCTGTAACAGGCGACTGGGCTTTGTTCCAAGGCTGTGAGCCCTGTCTGGCCAGCCGGGGCTGGGGACCCCTCTTGCGAGGCCTGAGGGCAGCTCAGCCGGGCTTCCCAGACACCTGGGCCACCTGCCTGCCACACCTCCGTCTCCACTCACCTCAATGAAGGTGCTGAGCGTGGCGTTGGTGGGGTTGTGGGTGATGAGGAAGCGCATGTGTTTGTAGCTCACCTCCACCGGGGCCGGGCGGTTCATCCGAGCCATGGCGCCTCCCGACGGGCCCGGCAGGGCAGAAGGGACTGCAGAGAAGGCTGGGGACACGACCTGAGAAGTCCCCACACACCCCCAAAAAATGAGGAGAACGAGATCCCTGTGCTTGTCCAAGAGAAACGAGATTTAAAAACCCACCCCCATACCCCGCACAAATATTGTGCAAATACTTGGGTGTGGGGGAGGAAGCTGCCCACTGTTTGGATAATTAAAAAAGAAAACCCAACTCTTAAAAAAGAAAAGGAACAAAACAGCCCGCCGCCCCCCCCAACCCAACCAAAGTAAAGCGGGCAACTCCAAACTCCCGTCTCTCAGAGCTGGATAGTCATAAAGAGGCAAAAAATAAAAAGAACAACCAAAAAAGCTCAGCAAAGAAAACTTAAAAACTCAAAGTGAACCCGGCCGCCAAGCAGTGTCCAGAGCTGGACCCCACACCGGGGGCGCCCTCTCCACATTGGTGGATGGGCAGACAGCCCCCTTCACTCAGAGGTGGGCCCCAAGCCCCCAAGGGCCAGAGGAAGAATGAACTTGAACTGAACCAACTCCAGCTGCCTTGGGCCAGGGGTCACGGGCAGTGGCCGTGGGGACAGCGGCCTCTGACGTGTGGGGCCTGTGTCACGTTACCCCATCGGGGTACGGTGAGTCCTGGAGTGGGGCAGGGGGCTCAGGCGGTAGAGCTGGCCCCAGGCTGGGCAGCAGAGGCCATCGGCAGGCGAGGGCAATGGTGAGAGCCAGTGGCACGGGGACCCCTCAGCAGGAGGCGCGGCGACCCTGGGCGCAGCAGTGCTTAGGGCTGGGCCCCGTGGCCCACTCCATGAACCCCAGGTGGGTCCACAGCACACAGCATCTGTGGGGAAAGACGAAGGAAATGAATAGAAAGGGATCACAGGGGGCCCCGCCTCCCACAAGGGGTTCATGCCTGTCATGAGCCCACAGTCACAGGCGACACCTCTCCCAGAGCCCTCCTCCTGACCATGCTGAGAGAATGACCCTTTTGGGTCTATTTCCTTATATGGGAGCACAAGGAAGCACGGCTCCTGCCAGGACTGACCCAGGGCCCAGAGGCGACAGGGTAGCCACCACACAGCCAGCAGGGCATGACGGAGGACAGAGGGGACAGGGATTTCAGGGACACACACACCCCCGAGGACATGATGAACCCCAGCACACAGATGACAGATCCCTCTGTGGGGACAGAGGCCGAGTTCCTAAGAAGCCTGAGCCTGGCCCCTGCCCACCTGCTGTGATCTGCGGAAACTCCACCCCAGGACAGCTGCCCTCTCCTCTTCCGATTCTCAGCCACTGTGAACATCTGAGCCCAGGTGTCTCTGGGTGGCCCATCCTCAGGGAATGGGGCCCAGGCACTCGGTCAGTGCTGCCAGCACAGGGAGGTGAGGGGCCTGGCCCCACACGCGGCCGTGGGCCACCCTAATCGCCTCTTGCTTTCTGCAGAAAGTCTCCTGCCTGTCAGCAGCCCCCTGTCCACCAGTGTCCCCCCGCCACTGTGTCTCCACTGCTCACACAGGTCTCAGCCAGGCTCGGGGATAAACAGGCCAGCTCTGCCCCTCCAGGAGCTCAGGGAGGCGGGGACAGAACACGCCAATGGGCCAGCCATCAGGCACACATGCCAAGGTGGTGACAGCACAGGTGGCCAGGAGTGGGTTCACACCATGACAGGGCCCTGAAGAGGGGAGGCGGCAGGGGGGGCCACAGCAACCCAAGGCACCTCCACGCCTGCCTCTCTCCCTTTCTGGGTCTCATGACCCCAAAGCTCCCAGGCAAAGGGGTTCCAGGAGCACGCAGCCCCCTTCCCTCTCTACGGAAGGGCTGGGAGGCCTTGAGCAAGGTGCCGGCCTCTTTGTTACCCCATGAGCACGATGAGGGGTGACACAAGTGACCCAAGCTGTATTTGGGCACTGCTGCTGAGGGGTCCCCGCACTGCTGGCCCTGGCTGTGACCCAGCTGTTAGCAGACTCTCCAGCCCCCTAGACTCAACCCAAGCCCGGCCCTGTCACTACTGCCTGCTACCCAAGGAAAGGCACTTCAGGGCCCCTCGCCCAGCAGAGCCCTCCATTCCCCAACCCACCCCCTCTCACCTGTGCCCCTGCCCCAGCCCCAGCACCCCCTTCCCAGCTGCCCACCAGGCAGGCTGGGCCCTTGGAGCTTCAGCCCAGGTGCAGGTAGGGCTTGAGGCCTGGGCCCCTGGACTCAGAGGGTGGCTACCTGGGACAGTGGGCTCCTCCCTGCCTGCCCTCCACACCCTGGGTGGCAGCCAGTGCTCATGGGCTCAGAGCAGCCGCCACACCTCAGGCTCTGTCCACTGCATGGTTCTGGGAAGGTTAAAATGGGCGGTGGGTGTCAGGCGCAGTGGCTCACTCCTGTAATCCCAGCATTTTGGGAGGCCAAGGCGGGCGGATCACCTGAGGTCAGGAGTTCAAGACCAGCCTGACCAACATGGAGAAACCCCATCTCTACTAAAAATAAAAAAATAAAAAATGAGCCAGGCATGGAAGTGCATGCCTGTAATCCCAGCTACTCGGGAGGCTGAGGCAGGAGAATCGCTTGAACCCTGGAGGCAGAGGTTGCAGTGAGCCGAGATCGCTCCATTGCCCTCTAGCCTGGGCAACAAGAGCAAAACTCCGTCTCAAAAAAAAAAAAAAAAACCGGTGGTGGGGTGGGACCCCCAGAAGGAGGTAAAGGTGGAGACAAGGATACTGTCCCTGGTCCCGCCAGTCCCCACCTTGCCCGACTGGAGGGAGCACAGGCTCTGAGTGTGGGTGAGGGAAGCCACCACGTGCTAACAGCACACAAACACCTGGGTCCCTCTTGGGGCAGCAGGATGTCCCTGTGTGTGTGCACACGGGAGCCGAGCTCATGTTTACAGAAAGAAAGGAAGAAAAGCACCAGAGAAACCACAGTATTGGGCCTCTCCCTGAGGGGCTGACCAACCCCTCACACCTACAGCTGCCAGGGACCCAGGAAGACCCCACAGGCACCAGCACGTGGCCTGGACCTGCTGCCTAGTGGCCCTGCACAGGTCCTCAGGGCTGCAGGCTACTGGGAGGGAGGAGGCTCCGAACCACCCCACACTACCCCCCACTGAAGGCCTAAGGATGCCACACATCTGCCGGAATCAGGGGGTTAGCCTGGGCTACGCTCAGGGGTCACAGCCCAGGCTAGAATGGGGTTAGGGGTCCAGGGAGAGGCTGGACCAGGGTCTTGCCACACATCCCACTTGTCTCTGCAGCCTAGGGCCCCTACCCCTGCCCCAGGTGAGAGCAAAGCAATGATGCCCTGGCACCACTATGTGGCTCTGCCCTGCCTGGTGGCTGTCCCCCAAGGGAGAAAACCCCTCCATAACCACACGCCCCCAGTGAGGTCACCAGGTAGGGCCCTGAGAGCAAGGGTTAAGGATCCCCAGGGATGGGCACTGAGAACTCCCTGAAGCCAAAGCCTCAGGCTTCCCATCTGCGAAATGGGGACAGGTTGCCCCTGCCTCCATGTGTCCTGAGTCGCTACCACCCCCACCAGGCCCGCGGCCCACAGCACGGGGACCCACTGGCAGCCGTGGCCCCTCTTTCCCTCCTGCTACCTCCTTCCCTCCTGCTACCAAGCCCTGCAGAACCCTTCCCAAGATCTGGCTCAGCCTCCTCGGGCCAGCAGGCCCAGAGCCCTCAGCTATTTCTCAAGACCCTTTAAGGGAGAGTCCATCCTTGTCCCTGTTTGCGAGATGAGGAAACAAGCCAGGGAGAGGGGAGAACATTCTCCACCAGGGCCACACCAGGCGTCCAGTTAACTGGGTTCTCTCTGGCTCAAATCTAGGAGGCAGGAACAACACGCAGCGCCCTGCACAGAAGAGGAAATCGAGGTTCAGGGAGGCTACCGCCCTCCTTCCCGATGGCACAGCAGCTTAAGAAGTTTGAATCCAGCCCCCGCTTCAGACAGGGCGCCCCCTGTGATTTTGGGGGAGGAGGCTGGAGGCCCGGGGCTCAGCGGGTCTCAGGAGAAGTAAGCTGCGCCGCGGTCAGGGCTGAGGCGGGCGCTCTGGGGAGTCCCGGGGAACCAGTCGCGGGTGGGGTCGTGGTAAGGGGCGCGGCCCCCTCCCTGGGTGCCAGCGGGGCTCCCGCCCAGCCCTCCGGAGGGCGCCACCTCCTCCCCGGCGGGGCTGGGGTCCCGGAAGGCCTGGGTCCGCCGCGTCCCCACCTGCCAGGCTCACCCGCGCCGCAGGCGTCCCACCGCCTCCATACGCGCCGGCCTGGCGGTGCCCACGGTGCTGGGCCTGGGTCGGGGCGCCGCCCCTCCGCCGCGGAGCCGGCTCCAGGCGCTGCCGCCACCGCCGCCTGCGGCTATTTATAGCGCCCGGGCGTCACGTGGGGGGCGTGACCGGCGGGCGACCCGGCTGCCGGGGGCTCCCACACCTGCCGCCTAAATATAGCCGCGCCCTGCCCGGGAAACAAAGGGGCCGCGCAGGGCGGGCGCGGGGAAGAGGAAGCCCAGCCAGGAAAGGGAAGTGCGGGGCGCGGCGAGGGCCGGGGGCGCTGCCGCCCGGGACCCCTCCTTCCTCCCGCCGGCCGGCCCGGCGCCCTCTCCCGGTGCGCGCCCTCCCTAGAACCTCGGAGCTCCCCCTGGCCCCCTCATGGGGCTGCACGGGCCTGTGGGCTGGGGGTCCGGAGGGCAGGAGCCGCCGGGCCGCGCTCCTGGTGGGGAGGCCTGGACAGAGCGCGCCCAGCTTTGGAAATGGAAATGCGGCCCCGCCGTGCAGGTGCTGTCCTGCACCCTGAGGAGGAGGGCGCCCGAGTCCCTCCAGTTCAGACCCCCTGCCCAGCCCACCAGCCCCACCGCCCGGGCACTCCTCCATGAATTTACTCAGCACCCACCGTGCCAGACACTGCTGTCCCCTCACTTAATCCTCACGACCCCGCTGTGGCTGGCTACGCTGGTCTCTCCTAGCGTACTGGTGAGGAAACTGAGGCACTGCAACGAGGAACACCCTGAGGTAACACCGGCAGGCAGGATTCAGCCAGGCGGCGGGCTCCACAAACTCTGAGGCTCGGCACTGATGCCCCCTCTTCCAGGAAGCCCTCCCAGACCCTCTCAAGCAAACGCCTCCCTGCGACTCCTGGCTCTGCCTCCTGGGAGCATTGTGCCGGGAACTCATGTGCTCCCCAGACTATGAACCCCAGGGATGCAGCTGGCATCACCACCCACTCTGTGCCCGCCCTGGCCACCCAGGGCCCTCAGAGCAGGGTGGAGCGGCAAGGGTGGTACCCCCAGCACAGGGTCCCTGGAGGTGTGGCCCTGCTTGCAGCTCTCAAACAACCTGGTCCCTGCAATCTGAGGTCATCAAGGGGCCCAGCTGAGAGCACGACCCCCCCTCCCCCTGCCAGGCTCTCCCCACCCACACTTCCAGAAAACATCACCATCAGCCTGGCCCAGCTGTGCCGGCAACCCTCGCCTCCTCCCACCTCCAGGTGGGCAAGCAGGCTGGGGAGCAGAGGACAGGAGGGCTGTGCCCAGTCTGAAGGGCCCCATGGGAGCCTCCACCCAAGGGCACACCAAGCCAGGTAGCCCTGCCTGCCAGCTCATGGACCCCCAAGGGTGTGAGCTCCCTGGCAAGGGCACCCACCCACGTGGGTGCACCCAGCTCCACAGGGAGACGCTAGGCTCTGACTCCTGCCCAGTGCTCTCAGCTCACCACTTCCAGCAGCGTCTCCCTGAAGGTTGAAGGCAAGAATGGGTCAGCTTCAGGGACTCTGCCCCACCAATCTCCAACCTCAGCCACTTTCTAAGGATACCAGGCTAGACACTGCATTCCACAAGCAAGACACACACCTGCCACACTGCACTGACAAACCATAACAGCACAGAGAAGCTGAGCAACCCTTCTGAGTCACACAGCCAGAAGGCAGAAAAACCACATTTGGAGCTGGGTCTTGCTGCCCCCGAGACCCTGCTTATCCCCACCCTAGCCCTCTGGGAGAGAGGACCTCTGGGGTAAGCTGCTCCTGCCCCCCAGCCTCAGTTTTCTTATCCATAAAAGGGGTCTCAGAGTGAAAGTTCCCATCAAGCTCTGTGATGCTACAACCAGACAGAGCCCGTCGCCTCTGGCGCTACAAAAGTGGACCCCAGCATCCTCATCACCCCCACCCGGGCTCCACCCCCTTGCCTGGGGCCCTCTGGCCGGGCCTGGGAGGCACCTGCTGCAGCTGGCACAGCCCCAGGCCTTTCGGAGAAGTCTATTTATAACCAGGCAGGAGCCGTTCCTGGAATCCTCCCAGAGCGGGCCCAAGTCCGCCCATTGCTAGGGGGGCCAGGAGGGGAGACCCAAGCAGGCCAAGCCCACGCTTGATGCACTAGGACGCCTTCCCGGAGTCCTCCAGGCCCCTGCACTCGGCAGCTCCAAGGGCCCAGCCTCCTCACTGCCACATCCCCCCATGCCATCCCATCCCCTCTCCCCACCCCACCCCACACCCTCTCCCCACCCCACCCCACACCCTCTCCCCACCCCACCCCACCCCAGTCCCCACCCCACCCCACCCCCTCACCCCACCCCCTCTCCCCACCCCGCCCCATCCCCTCTCCGCACCCCACTCCATCCCCTCTCCCCACCCCACCCCACCCCCAATCCCCACCCCACCCCCATCCCTTCTCCCCACCCCACCCCATCCCCTCTCCCCTTGCTATGTGTCCTTTAGAGTAGCGTTTCACAGGCCCCAGGGAAGGCATCCCAACTGGAGGAGGGCTGAGAGATCCTCAGTTTCACCCCACCTCCCACATAGGCCCTGGCACCAAGAGGGCTCCCACTTGTTTGTGGAAGGAGCAAATGACCCAACATTGTGGGCAGACATCCAGATCTGGGACACATCCAGAACCCATCATGGAATCTCGACCCCTGAGGCCTAGAGGAACCTCAAAGGTCACCTACGCCACACCTAAGCACCAGCTTGCACACCTCTGGTGATGGGGACCTCACTACTCCTTAGCAGCCCTCGTGCCCTCCGCCTCCAGGCAGCCTCCCAAGCTGTTGGTCCCAGGCCCCCTCTCTGGTGCTTCTGAGCACTCATTGCAGGGACAGGGACCAGCAGGAGGACAGCCCCTGAGCAGAAGCCCCAGGATGGCAGGTGATCTGGAGGGTGGGAGGTCAGGGAAGGCTTCCTGGAGGAACTGGCCATTGGGGAGGCAGGCATGCTCCTGATGCCTGGAGTCTCACATCAGGCTTGACCCACTACCCCGACTCCCTGTGTGACCCTGGGCCAGTGCTAGCCCTCTGGGGCCCATGGCTGCCTTTACAAATAGAGACGCTGCCAGAAAGGAAAGCCACCTTCCGAGATGGTGCCAGCTCCAAGCCAGTCATGGGGTGCCTGGCTGCGGCCTGGAAGCGGAGCTGTTGGGCGCCGGCTCGGGTTCTACCCACTGGGCATCTACAGACGACTGTGGGCTCCAAGGACATGCCCCTGTGCTCAGCTGCTGCCCGTCCAGGCTGCACACAGCTTTAACAGTGCCTCCTGGGGCATTTCGCTAACTTGCCAACCCAGGAGGCCTGCCCTGCTCCTCCTGAAGCTGCTCACATGCTGCCAGCCACCAGCAGTGCCCAGGCAGGTCACAGTTCCACCACAGACCTGGGGGCTGTAACCACTGCTTCCACAGGCAGGCGGGTAGGTGGGCACCTGGTGAGAGCATGGATGAGGCCATGGGGCTCCACTCAGGCTGCCATTGGGCCCCAGGCACCCAGCATCAGGCAGGCAGCAGGTGATGCCCGCCAAGCACCAGGAGCCTCCCAAATCTGTGGCCACTCAGGCCCTGCCAGGCCCACCCGGAGCCTCCCAACCTCCAATGGCACCAGGAGAACCACCCAGGTGATGGGTAGAAACCTGACCCCAGGAGGTGCTTAATACCACACTATGGCCTCCTGCGATGCCCAATCCCAACCCAGGACTCAGACCCCTACCCCCATAGCCCAGCACCAAGCCCCAGCCCTCTCCACCTGGACTCAGCTCGGCCAGCCTCACCCTTGTGGGCCTGGACCGTTCCCTAATGGGACCTGGGATGCCAGAAGAAAGGAGCAAGGAAGGACAGGTGGCAGGGGGAGGAGGTAGAAGAGGGGGACAGTCACAGGGAGGGGTTCTGACCCCACTCACAAGGTGGCACCAAACCACGGCAGTCAGGACTGGGCTCTGGGCTCATAGGGCCTAGGGTCAAGCCCAGTGCTGCCTGTGACCGTTTCTCCCCTCTGAGCCCTGGTTCCCCACCTGTAAAAGGTATGGCAAGCCCTGGCTCACCGGGGTCTTGAGGGGTCGAGGGGACAAGGGGACAAGGGGACAGTGGACACTGACAGCTGGAAGACGGGGCCTCTGGCAGCAGCTCAGATGAGGAAACTGAGGCACGGCCAGGGGAAGTGTGACTCCCAAATGTGGCCATGCAAACCTTCACCCCTTCTGCCACCCTAGAAGCCCACCTGGTGGCAGAACAGGTAGGGCATCTTCCCTGCCTGGGGGCGTGACACAGCCAGGCCCCCCTCCCAACTCCCCTCACCCTGCCCTTGTCATTCCCCCAGCACCCCAGCCCCCCACCTGCCCTTCCTGGGGGCCGGGATGGGGGTGTCAGTGCTTGGAAAGCATCCCAGCAGCCACTGCCAGCCAGGCCACCTGTTGACACCACACGGTGCCACACTCCGGCACATAAGGCCTGCATCCTGGGCTGCCTGCCCTGTACAAAGCCCACCACCCACCTCCCCATCCCTGCAGGGGGCGTCCTGCCCTCTACACTGCCCTGCACCCTCCTGAGGCTCAGCAGTGCCTCTGAGCCTCCCCTACTCCCACCCTGGACCACAAGACTCCCACCAACGAGGACTGGAGACCAGGCATTCATCCATTCATTCATCCGTTCATTCATCCAATTTGACAAATATGTATTGAGCACCTTCAAGGGCCAGGTGCTGGGCTAAGCTTGGGAGATTCAGGAAAGAAATGGACAGAAACAGCACACAGCCTGCCCACCTTCTCCTGCCCTCCCAGGTGGGGCTGCCCAGCCACCCCTCCACCCCCTGCCCTGCCAAGCTGCCTCCCAGACTCCCCGGGCGGGTGGGCCAGGTAATGACAATATCGTGAGTTTCCAGGGAGGGGTCCAGGGTGCCCACATGCTGGCATCTCTACTGAGTCGGGGGTCACTTCCTCCCTGGAGCCAAGCCACTTGGTTCCTCAAAGAGACCCCATGCCAACCTGTGCCTCAGTTTCCCAGGCTGTCACAAACAGGGTTAGAATGTAGGATGCCTGGCTCACAGCGGAGACACCGCCACGGCAGGCAGATCAGGACCCAGGGCCGTCAGGCCTCCACTCCCCCTACTGTCCCCAGCCATCGGCCTAACCAAGGCCTCCACAAGCTGCCTCCACAGGGCTGCCCACCTCCCCTCCAAGCCCACCCTTGCAAGCTCCCTCCCCACCTCCCAGCCTGGGTCATGCTCTCCTGGGAACACCACCTCCTCAGGGGAATCTTCACTACCTAGTAACAGCCACTCCCTGCACCTCGGCTTCTTCCTCGGAAATAAATGAATCAGGTCATGAAAAGTGCTCAGAATAGTGCCTAGTGCTGCCTGCGTGGCCCCTGTATCCCCAAACCCCAGAAAGGATGCCACCCCTTCTCCTCTGGTCTTGGTCTGGGTCCAGCGAGGAATGGGCCACCCAGGCCTGGGCATCCTCCGAGGCCACAGTGAGCCCCTGGCCGCTGCCTCCCTGACCCCTGCCTCGCTGCGGGCCCAGGTCTCAGGGCCTGTCACCCATGTCATTATGCCTTCTCCTTGTCAATGTCCCTGACACCCCCAGGCAGCTCAGGACCCCAACCAGAGAACCAAATGGGAGAGCACAGATCTGCCTCCAGAGGGCCACCGCTGGGCCAGCCCTGCTTCCACCATCGAGGCCCCAGGGGCCCACTGGTCTCCCCACCTGATTGGGGTCTCTAGTCTACCACCCCTCCTGTCCCCCACCCTCACCCAGCCAGCCAGCCCAGCCTCCTCACCAGGGCAGGTATCAAGGGAGGTACACGCATGCTTGTCTCTGAGGGCAGCTTGGTTGAGGTTTGGTAAGTGGGCAGCCCACCTCCAGCCCAGACTAGACTTGGGGTCAAGAGCCCATGTCAGCTGCCCACCCACCCGGCAAGCCACCCCCCTACGGCAAGGCCTGGCACAGGATTGGAGACACAATGGTGGCCCCCACCCTGCTGCTGCTCACATACCTTCCATGGCTCCCTATGGCCTACACACCAAGTACCGGCTTTTCAGCCTGGCCCATGGCCCCTCTGCCCTTGCCTCCCTCACAGGTGAGGAGGGGGAGGGATTATAGGAGTCACATCTCCAGGCACCCTCTTCTCTCTGCCCAGAATGTCCCAGGACACACCTCCTCATGCTCAAGACCAGACCAGAGTCCCTCCTCCTCCAGGAAGCCTGCAGCTACCCTCAGTGCCTGGGTCTCCCCTATCACGTTTCCATTCATACGTGTACCTGCCAAACACCCTCTGGGCTCCAGACCCCATGATAGGTGCTGGGTGGGGGTCAGGGGTGAGCAAACCCCATCACCCACACTCAGAGGGCACTGGTTGGTCAGTGGGGGCAGGGGGACACACACTAACCAGGCAAAGGATTATGGCAATGGGAAGTGGCATGTGACCCACAGAACCATTGATTCCCATCCCTCCTGTGATTGCTGGGGGGAGCAATCACAGAGGCCTCTCTGAGGAGGTGGCCTTCAGGCAGGGTAGGATCCTCCCAGAGGGTGGTATGGGCTCCCAAGGTGGGGAATGTACCAGACTCTCCACTGAGCCCCACGAGCACAGCACACATCAAGTCTGTCCCCACTGGCATCTCAGAGCCCTTTCATGCCCCATGTTCCACCACCCCCGCCCCAATGCGTGATGTCACCCCCACCACAGACCCAAGCCTATGAGCCCCATTTGACACAGAGGCCGGCCGGACGGGGCAGAGCCGCGGGAAACCAGGTTTTCCAGTGCTAAGCCCAGGGCTCCTTCTCTTCCACCCCAGCAAATCCTGAGAGCCTTATGTGTTCAAGCCCAGGGGAGGCTGACCACACGCGGGCAGCCTGCAGAGCAGCTGAGCAGATGGCAGGAGACTCACGCCTGGACTCAGCCACTGCACCCCAGGCCAGCTTCTCAGATCCTCAACTCAGCCAGGGACTGGCCACCCAACCCAGAAAGCCACTGGGACTTCAGACCTCACAGGGATGATTAAAACCCAAGAGCAGATGACCACCTAAGCTGCCATGTGTTAACAGTAATTGTGACATTTGCCACATATTGGGAACCTGATTTTTGACAGAGCCTGATGATTGTCGGGGTCAGTAGGTCCTGAGTCTCCGCTGCTTATTGGGTGGGGAGCTTCTGCGGCTCTGAACCCCCGCTGACGTGCCCTGCACAGCGGGGTTCAGCAGCCTCCCCGGCTGCTGTGAGGATGAGGAGGTGAAGCTGGTCCACACTCCGGTGCGGGCGAGAGTCGAATCTGCTCTAATGGCCATGCCAACCACGGGGCCGCGTGGCCAGGTTCCGGTCCCACGGCACCTCCAAGGGCACCTGTGTGACTGGGGTGACCCAGGCAGCCCTGGTCCACCCTGCCGTCCTGGAGTGACCGCTCACAGGACCTCCTTTAGTGACAGAGTGATAAGGGACAAACCATGCGGCCACTGCGTGATGACTCTCAGCTGTTAAGACAGGCCACGAGCAGAGGGGATCGGGAGCTTTCTCCTCCGCAGAAGAATCGGGTTGACCCCCACCCCTGGACCCCCACCCCCGCCTCCGGATGGTGCGGCTGGGAGTGGAGGCCAGACGTCAGCGATCTCGGGACCCAGCTCGAAGGGCCGGCCTCCGCACCGACGCGCACACCGAGGCCGGGTCATCGCCACGTGGGGTCTGAGGCAAAGAGCCCAAGGAGAGCGGGGTCCCGGCGCCGCCGTTCGGGGGAGCCCTGGAGGAGGCGCTTCCGCCACCAGGGCGGCGCCCTCGCCCACCCGACCGACTGCACGCTCAGGCCCAGCGGCGCGCGTGCGCGGAAGGCACGGTTCCCCACCCCCACCCCGACCCCTCGCGGGCCCCTCTCCCTGGTCTGTCCCACGTCCCGGGCCCGCCAAAGCCGGCGCAGACACTCACCCGGCAGGCCGGTCCTCCGCGCTCCGAGTCAGCCGAGCCGCGCCGCGGGCTTTATCCCCGCCTGCGCCGGCCCTCCCCGCCCCCGCGCCCCCCTCCCCTGCCCTGCCCTGCCCTGCCCGCTCCACTGCAGTCGCTCCCCCCTCCCCACGCCTTCCACTCCCCTCCCCGCACCCCCACCCTCGCCGACCCTCTGACCAACCCCCCCCCCCCCGCCCCCGGCCCCTACCCCTCTCCCCGCCGTGCCCCCTACCCCTCTCCCCGCCACGCCCCCTACCCTTCACCACCCCTGCCCCCTGCCCCCCCGCCCCGCCCCCTGCCCCCCGCCCTCCGCGCACGTCAAAAGGGCCCACCCGGAGTCATGTGGGAGGCGGGGGCGCGGGGCTGGGCACTCCCCCGAAGGATCCCGGAACGCTCCGGCTGGGGCCTCGAATAGGGACCGGGGCCGCAGGGTCCCAGGGCTGCGGCGGGCACCCTGGTCCCGGCCAGAGGGCAGGAGGGTCCCTCCAGCGCTGGCCTGGGCTCTGGGGCCCACGGGGGACAGGGCGGTCCCTAGGGCCCTGTAACAGCGGGAGCGAGCGGGAGGGGGCGGGAGGGGGATGGCGCACGGAGACCCAGGCCCTGTAGTTGGGGTGGGGAAAGACTGGGGGCTGTCCAGGGCTCCGGCCTGTCTCCCCACTGCCTGCTGCAGGCTGGGAAGAGGGTCCCAGGGCCCGTTCCTTGCTGCGCTGGAGGGAGCCTCACTGCATCCCCACCACTTCCACCTGCCCACACAGAAGGGCCCGGACCCTGCAGCCTGCCCCGGCTTCACTCCCAGGTGGCAGCCCTGGGCTCAGCAGGCCCTCACTTCATCCTGTTGTCCCCATTTCCTCCAGGAGGAAGTGCAGGGAGACAGGGGAGGCGACTCAGTGGACCCCACCCAGGCCCCCCGCCACCCACACCCAACCCCCACCCCATATACACAACTTCTAACATAGTTCCTTCCGCAGGAAGTGGGAACTCCACCAGTGGAGGAGGGGCTGTTCCTGCAGTCCAGGGCCCGGGTCACTTGCCCCTCCCCCATCAGGATGCTGCCCTAGGCCTGGTGATATCAGGAGGGGGCGGAGCCCTCGTACCTCACCCTGGAAAGGATGAGGGGGCGTCTCTCAGGCCAGCCCAGCCCCCAGGACTCTACCTCCTGGGGCAGAGAGCGGTCACTAAGAAGTCCACCCTTATCCCTGCTCCCCCCAGCCACCAAGACAGCTGCGCCATAACTCACCACCCCCTGCCTAGGCACCCGATCCACCTGTGCCAGTCTGGGGCTGCCCAACAGTCCCTACCCCCCCCCAGTCCAGGGCTCTTCCCAAGCTCAGTGCCCGCATTCTCCTCAGCCACCTGCCCGAACCTCTCCTGCTCCTCAAGACCCCGGCCAGGTGCAGAGACTCACACACCTGCCACCAGGCTGCTGCTCCCACGTGCCCTCTGTCTGGCTGCCCTTCTCTCTCCCTACCGGGCCACCTCTTCCAGCCTCCCAGTGAGTGAACCTCCCCTGCCCCAGCCACCTTCCACCACTACAGTCCCAGAAGCCAGGTCTACCCACCAGGCTGGGCCCCCAGACCCTAGGGCCACACTCGGCCCCTTTTGATCTCCCCATGGGAGGATACAAATCTCAGGGGATTATTGTACACAAATGGCCTAATGTCCAGCGAGTGGACAGGACAGCTCCACAATGGCAGGCCAAGTCGGTGGCTCAGACAGGACTCCCAGTCCAGTGCTCATGCCTTACCTCCCAGGATGACTGAGAAGCCAGTGTGGAAACCGCCCAATGGGAAGCTCTGGCAAGCACACACACTGACCTGCATACACAGAGATGTGTGCTCACGTGCACACACACACACACACACACACGCCACAGAAACAGATGACCAGATCAGATGCCTGTGCCGGGAAGATGGGGACCCCATTGCCCCGCAGCAGTCCAGCCCCACGACGCCCACCAGAGCCTCCAGGGACACCGTGAGCCCGAATCCTCCATGTCCTCCTGTCCACACAGCATCTTTACACCAAGAGCCCTGAATCCTCCATGTCCTCCTGTCCATACCGCATCTTTCATCTTGCCTGGAAGGCCTCTGCCCAGGCTGGAAGGAGGATGGCACAGCCACACCAGCTGTGGACCAGTCACTGCCCTCCCTGCGGCAACCCTGACCCATCTTGGAACAGACACAGCTGGACTCCTGAGTGTTTCCAAAGCCATGGCGTCTGTAACATGCAGGTTCCCAGGCCACACCCAGACCAGGTGCCCCACTCACATGCGCACACGTGGCCCCACCTTGCCCTGGGCAGGAGGGAGCCGTGTTCTGACGGCCCTAACCCTCCCTGCCCCCAGCCTCCCACCCCAGAGCTCTGTTATAACACACCTGCCAGCAGCAGCTTCCGTTAAGAGCCAGTCGCTCTGGAGTACGGGGTGTTGGGTCGGAAATTGTGCGGCTCCAGGATTCCAGACAGGAGGAAGCCCACATGAAGCCTGCCCTGGCCCTGGCATTAGGCCTGCATGCCCACGGTCCTGCTGCCTTCCTCCTGGGCCCCATTTAGCCAGTGCCATGCCACCCACATCCAAGGCCCCTGAAGGCCAGTACCCAGAAGTGGGCATGGTGTCCCGGAGGGCATGGAGTTTCATTCGGAGCTCACAGCCTCTGAGAAGGAGCCTCTCCCCGCCCCAGTCCCTGAGGCCCTGCCAAGAATGCAGAGGCCCCCAGCAGGCCCAGAGGAGGCCCCTGATCTGGCCTCCCGGAGAGTTCAGGGCCTCCCTGGCACACCAGGCACAGCCCCTACCCCTTCTGTGCCACACACCAGTGGACCCTCAGCAGACACAGCTGACTCCAGGGCAGGAACCGACCCCCAAGCTCTCCAAGGGTCCGCATGGCCTGATGGTCCCTCCTGCTGGCCGGAGGAGGCTGCCCAGGAAGGTCCTCACCCACCAGCATCAGCCAGAGGCCCCAAAGTGGTCCACAACAGGGGAAGGGCATGAGGCCAGCCCTGAGCCCACTGGGCCTGGCTAAGCCTCCACCCCAGGTGCCCCCTGGGAACTGCAAAACCGTCCCGTGCATGCTGTGTGCCTCTGGGCCCCTCTCCTGAGCTCCCAGACCTTGTTAGTCACCCACACAACATGAGAATTATGAACCCATCACCAGATGAGAATACACAGGAACTGCCCCTGGCAGTGCCCACAGAGTTGTCACAGAGGCTGAGAGGGCAGGGTGGGCAGTGGGCGAGCTCGCTGTGGGAGGGCTCAAGCTAAGCCTGCTCTGCAGAAAGGATCCAGAGTTTGGCTGAATTCCATGTGCCTGCCTGGATGGAGCCAGGCCTTGGGCCCACAGGGCCTCTCCACGGAGAAGAGGCCATGGCTCCTCCTCGGGACCCCTGGACCATCCAGGGGACAGGGCCCTGAGGGCCATGAGCATGCAGCCAGCACTAGGCAGGCAGGCAGCCCCTGCTTGCTGTTCCTGGCATGCCTGACCCCAAACCCAGGAGCAGACTCACACCCCACCCAGCACCTTCACGGGAACAGGAGTTCTGCCCTCTAGCAGGGGAGCCAATCCCTCACGCCCACCCAGCCACCCATGCTCACTTGGGAGGTGGGGAGCTGGGCCGGCCTGTTCCTCCACAGTGGGACCCTGTCAGCAGGGTGTCCAGGAAGCTTGTGGTCCCTGAGGGTGGCTGGACCTTGGGGCCACTTCCACCATACCCAGACGCCCTGGACAGGGCAGCAGGCATGTACACCTCTGCTGTGTCACAGAAAAGGAAGAGCCCACGCTTAGCCACTGCCCAGCGCAGCACCCCCATATACCCATGACGCCCCTCCCTGAACCCAGTGTCCAGTCCCATGGAAGGCGGAGAAGGCCCAAGAACCCCTCTGTGTAGTGGCCTCGCGTGGTGCCCTCAGCACAGGCAATGCCCATGTCCATCCTCAGAGCAGTCCTGGAAGGCGCCCATCACCCCATTTTGTGGATGAGTAAACCGAGGCTCAGGCTGTGCAGTCAGCGAGAGCTCTGAGAGGCTGAGACAGGATTCAGGGCCTACCCAGGGTGGGCACTTTCTCTGCATTTTCTTCTTAAAACAGCCAAGCCCTACACTCCATGTCAGCCCCAGCAGGCGCGGTCACCCTGTGCTCAGTCCCTGGGATCCCTTCCTCTGTGCCACCCAGGGCCCGTGGGGTCGGGGACAGGAAGGGGGATCGAGATCATGGAGCTAGCCAGGGCCACTGGCCGAGGCTCTAGTGGACGCACGTCAGAGGGGCCTGAGGAACCGCGGGAAAGAGCTCTGACCTGGCCTCGGGAGGCCACGTCCAAAATAGCCAGCCCTGCACGGTGAGGGGACTCAGCCGGCATGCACGTAGGCCTCTTGGCCCCAAGCGCTGCCAAGCTGGCTGCGGAAGGTCACAGCTATTTCTGGGCTGGCCCGATGGTGAGACGCAGCCTGGCACCCCCAGAGCCAGTGCACACGGCGCCACTGAGGCCCAGGGGGATAGGGCTACCCCCAGGACACATGGTGGAGGGGCTGGAGGGGCCCGCAGGTTCCCCATGGTGCCTAGATCCTACTGGGGGGACCAGTGCTGATGGCCTTTCCTCTCTGAGCCAGCTCCCTCCCAAAAAGCACGTGCAGTGCTATGAGTGGATTGGTTTCATAGTCACATCACTGGCTTTTACAGGCCACCACCATATGCCAAGCCTTGTGCTGGGCACTTGGGTTGACAAAGAACCAGACCTCGTCCCTGAAACAATCAAGAGGGGGCAGAAAAAGCGGGGCTCGGCCACTGTCTTCAGCTCCTGTGACCCTGGCATACAGGAGGAGGGTGGTTTGTGGCAGGGAGGCTGCTAGGCACACACAGGTCCACCCCATGCACACAGAGGTGCCCCACGCCTTGCCAGCCCACAACGCCAGTGCTGCCAGCACTGACTCAGGCTCCATCTACCCTGGGTCTTGGCCTTCCCCATCTGACAAATGGGGAACCTGAGGCTCAGAGAGGGTGCGAGACTCAGCCAGTGACCCCGGCTCAAAGCTCAGCTCAAAGCCAAGGCAGGTGGGTTCTCTGGGGTCCAGGGGAGGGGACAGCTCCTTTCCACCCGCAAGGCCTGGCCATTGCTCAGCCCATGGCCACTGTCCTCACACAGGGCTGTGTGACCTGGTTCCCCTCCTGGCTCCCCATTGTGAGCTGTGTGATGGGTACATCCCTCAACCTCGCTGTGCCTCAGTGTGCTCATCTGTAGGATGGGTTCGCTGGAAGGCTGTCCTCTGTGCCTCAGTGTGCTCGTCTGTAGGATGGGTTCGCTGGAAGGCTGTCCTTCATGGACCTGCCCTTGGTTTTCTCCTGGGATCTGAGGGACATTATTACCCTTTCCAAGAGGCCTCGCTTGAGTCCCTGGAACACTGGCACTTTGCCAGGTACCCACAGGGGCTGTGAGGACACCGAGCGCCCCAAGAAGACCACAGTTCCCAGCAGGTGCCTCAGAACCCTCAGGGGAGCCTGCGTGGATGGGGCTTCTTCCCCGCAGGGCTTCTTAAAGCCCCTGTTCCTCCACAGATGTGGGGACCTCAGAGCCAGGCAGGTGGCCAGCAGGGCATTTCTGGAATGTTTTTGAAACCAGGCACTAGCAACAATGGTGCCTCACCGAACCCCACCTTGGCAACTCCAGATTGGGCCAGCCCCACTCCCCCAGTCTGGCTGGGAGCCTGGGGGCCGGGGCCTCCCGACTCCTGCCCGTCTGTGTGGCTGTGGGCACTTCTGTGATCCTGGGGCCTCATCCATGACACAGAACCTCAGACAGCCCAGGCCATGGCATGAGGGGGTGGCAGGCAGGCCATGTGGGCTGTGACCGCGGTGACCGTCCGCAGCAGGGGCTGGGCAGAGCCAGGCCTGGTCACCTCCCCGACCCAGGCTGTATGTCCCCATGTTCGTCACAGCCGTGGTGACAGTGGCTTGAGGGTAGCAAGTTTAGCTCCCGGCTGCAGGCATTGGCTGCCATGACAACAGCCAAGGCCAGACTGGATGCCCAGCCCAGGTGGGTGGCAGGCAGGCACTGCCCCAGGGAGTGGGCCCCCGCAGGCACCGCTGGGCACCCAGCCACGGCCCCTCGCCAGCGCAAGCAGGGCAGGAGGGGGCCTGGGTCACATGGTGCATCCTGGGAGCTGGGCACGCTGGGCAGCCTGCACTGCCCGCTTTGAGCACCTGCCCAGCTCCCAGGAGAGAAGGAGGGGAACCATCAGAACCAGCGGACCTAAGGGAGACCTGCTCTCCCAGGCATCTGAAGGCTCAGCAGGCAGGTGGGGAACACACCAGGGAGGGGCCAGAAATCCACAGGCGCTTTCCAGAGGACCTCAGCTCAGAACACATCCTGCCAGCCTAGGGGCTATGTGGAGCCCTCTGCCATCTTATGCCCTGCCTGCACAGCCCCTCAGGGGCTCTGGGCATCGCCGTGGTGCCCAGAAGGGGTGGGCAGGAGGTCGGGCCACAATCACCAGGCCTGCAGGCAGACTGGGTGCCGGGTCCACAGATGGAGGCTCCCATCCCTCCCATCCCCCTGCCCCACCAGGAGCTGCCACCAAATAGCCCTGGACCTGAAGGGTGGATCTGGGGATGGAGGGAGCTCACAGGAGCTGATCCCTACCCCGCCAGCTCCAGGGCTCAGAGACAGCCCCGGGCCAGGAACTTTGCCCTGTCTGGCAGTGCTGTGGCCAGGCCATTCACACGGGCCTGTTGGATGCTGCAGCTCCCAGGCCTCCCCTAGCAGGGCCCAGGGAGGACTCGGGAAAGGCAGCGGTGGGTCAGCACCTTGGGGACTGAGAGGCCCTCAGGCCACACTGCCTTCATGTTGGGGCCAGGGATCCCCAGGGAACCATGCAGACTGGAACCCCACCCTCCAGAATCAAATGCCCCACCAGTCCACCCAGATGAGCAAAGAAAACAGGTTATACACATCAGGGCGTGGTGACACTACACGGCAGCGTGGGTACCTCACAACCTTGTCTGTGCCTTCACTCAACTCCCCAGTGGCAAGGCACTCTGTGAGGGCCGGGGAAGGGCCTTCTCACTCTAGTCTCTAGCGCACACCAAGCTCCTGCCCTGCCCTGAGCCCTGGGTGGGTGCCAGCATCCCTCTGTTCCCCAGCAGCTGGTGACGTCCCCACAGCACTGGGAACCCGGGGGCAGGGCAACGACACTTTCACCCTATTTTACGGACTTCTGAGAGCTGCTCAGGACAGAGTCTGTGTAGGCGGGGGTGCTATCCTAATTTATTTTTTGAGATAAAATTCATAACACATGAAATCCACCATTTTAGTCTTTTTTTTTTTTCAGACAGAGTCTCGCTCTGTTACCCAGGCTGGAGTGCAGTGGCACGACCTCAGCTCACTGCAACCTCCGCCCCCGGGTTCAAGCAATTCTCCTGCCTCAGCCTCCCAAGTAGCTGGAATTACGGGCGCCCATGACCACAACCGGCTAATTTTTGTATTTTTAGTAGAGACAGGGTTTCGCCATGTTGGCCAGGCTGGTCCCAAACTCCTGACCTCAGGTGATCCGCCCACCTTGGCCTCCCAAAGTGCTGGGATTACAGGCGTGAGCCACCAGGCCCAGTCATTTTAGCCATCTTAAAGTGTAACCTTCAGTGTTTTTAATATATTCACAGTGCTGTGTAATCATCACCACTAATTCCAGAACACTTCCATCGCCCCCTCCCACCAGCAGTCACTCCACCCCTCCTCCCCCAGCCCCTGGCAACCACAAGTCTGCTTTCTGTCTCTGTGGACTTGCCTGTTCAGGACATTTGCTGTGAATGGCCTCACACACCACGTGGCCTTCTGCGCCTGGTTCCTTTCGCTTCTCCTGGCGTCGTAAAGGCTCAGCCACGGCGCAGCCTGAGTCTGTGCCCGCTCCACCTGTTGGCCGCCTATATTCTACTGCAGGAGTGTGCAATCTTTTGGCTTCCCTGGGCCACGCTGGAAGAATTGTTTAGGACCACACATAAAATACACTAACGCTAATGATGGCTGATGAACAACAACAACAACAAAAAACCTCATGATGTTTTAAGAAAGTTTACAAATTTGGCCAGGCACGGTGGCTCACGCCTGTCATCTTACCACTTTGGGAGGCTGAGGCAGGTGGATCACTTGAGGTCAGGAGTTTGAAACCAGCCTGGCCAACATGGCAAAACCCCATCTCTACTAAAAATACAAAAATTAGCTGGGTGTGGTGGCGGGCACCTGTAATCCCATCTACTTGGGAGGCTGAAGCAGGAGAATCACTTAAACCCAGGAGGTGGAGGTTGCAGTGAGCCAAGATCCCACCACTGCACTCCAGCCTGGGCAACAGAGTGAGACTCCATCTACAAAAAAAAAAAATAGAAAGTTTATGAATGTGTGTTGGGCCACATTCAAAGCCGTCCTGGGCCGCGCTGCTGGCTGGGCAAGCTTGTTCTACTCTGTGGGCCTGCCACATTTCGTTTATCCTCAGCTGATGGACATTTGGGTCATTTCCAGCTCTGTCTGAATTTTACCCTCAGGGACTGAGCCAGGGGGCTGTGCAAGGTTGGGAAGAGGGCTACACCTTAACCATCACCCACAACTTCTGTTCTCCCAAGACCCCATTGGGTACGGGAGGTTGAGGTCCTACCAGATGCACCCTTACAGAAGCCCCAGCTTTGTGCCCACGTGTGTGAAGGAATGGAGAGGGCAGGAGAGGGACTGGAGGTGGGGAGGCCTGAGAGTCCAGGCCAGCATGTGGACTGTGGGGACACAGGGCAGGCAGGCAGAATCCACACCTTCTAGGTTCTGTCCGGGCTGTGCCAGGCTGCCAAGGGAGGATGCTGGGCAGGTCAGGGAGGAAGAGAGGTCCCAGTGGCCAGGGGAGTTGGGGAGGGACTCTCCAGGATCCCCAGCAGAGAGGGCAAAGGGTACCTCCCAAGGGCCTGACCTCCTCCCCTGGAGAGAATCCAGAAGGTGAAGGTGGCATCAGAGATGGGCCCTAGAGGACAGGAAAGATTTCTGAGCGCATTTTTGGAAGTTCAAAGCATAACCTGCATGACCTTGCACATACAGTGGGCACAGGGCAAAGACTTATTTAATTCGCTCAGTGGGAACAGCAGGAGGCAAAGCCGGCTCAGAGGAGGATTCAGGGCGAAGTGCCTACAGCCCTTGAGAGCTGGCAAGATGGATTAAGATGGAAAGAAGAGGCGGGCTGTCGGTGGCATGCAGGCAACACAGCCGTCACCACTCGCCATCTTCTGTGCCACACAGAATCCACTTGCACCTCTACCAAAACTGTAGTTCACGCAGGATGTCAATGAGTCTGGGCCCCGTTTGATCACAAACACTGGGGTCACATATCCCCAGAGTTGGCCTAATTGGTCCAACAGAGCAGAGTGGAAGAAGTGGGCATCCAGATGGGGGCGCGGCTTGAGCAAGGGCCAGAGGCAGGAGGGCAGGACTTCCCAGGGGGACACCCCAGGGAACTGCTCTCCGGAAAGGGCGGGCTCTGGGTGGCAGCAGAAAGAGGACGGCAGGACTTCCCAGGGGAAACCCCAGGGAACTGCTCCCCGGCTTCTCAGAAGTGCTTCAGGGCACGGACAGGCCTCCACAATCCCCAGTCCAGGCACATCACAGAATCAAGTGCAAGGTGAGGAAATGGAAAGTCCCCGGAATCCCCAGATGGGGCAGGAAGCAGCCGTGGGTGGCCGACAAGTGAAATGGTGACACCTGAGCCCAGATGCCTAAAGCCACCGCCCAGAGGGGCTACCGAGGGTCACCAAGAATCTGGGATACCCATCTGGCATCCTGGGTATCCCCACCACTGCCCCCACCAGTGTCCTCGACCTAAGTCAGATCATAGCCCCCTCCGCTCAAAGCCTCCAGTGGTGCCCGCGTCACTCAGGAAAGCCAAAAATCCTTATCGCCCTAAAGGCCCCACGCGAGCTGCTCCCTGCCCTCTGACCTCCTACCACTCCCCTCTCCTCATCTGCTGTAGCCTCACCTGCCTCCCAGCTGTTCCTGCAACTTGCCAAGCACAGTCCTGCCTCCGAGCCCTTGCACTGCCTGTGCTGGAGGCCAGGAGCATGCTCTGTCCCCACATCGTCCGGTGCTGGCCCCTTCTTACCACTCGGATCTCAGGTTCAGCATCCTCCTGTTCCTCCTGCTAGCCACCGAGACCTGTCCTCTGTCCCCCACACACAGTAGGGATCATCTGTCCCCCTTCTGGCAAAGCTTGTCAGCCTCTCTCCCCACGCAGGACAAGAGACCGGCCACAGCTCCACCCTCGGCTCCCTGGTTCTCAATGGGCACCGTACACAGCAGGTGCTGGCTCAGTGGATGTGTGAACATATTCGACTGTCCTGTGAGTGGGAGTAAGGCAGAGACAAGCATCCTCAGTGATGGATGAGGATGCTGAGGATGAAGAAAGGAAGACCCGCCCGCAGCCATTCCTTCTCACCCAAGCACTCCCAGCAACACAGTGACCAGGGCATCTGTGGGTGGACCCAAAGTCACTGCTTGGGTGGTCTTGGGGAAAACTGGCTCCGACCTCAGGGACCCGGAGGTTGGGGGGCCTGGAGGAAGGAGCGTCTGCTGGGTGTCTAGCCAAAATTGCCTGGGGAGCCCCCAAGGAAGACTGGACATGCCAAGCACCCAGAAAGAACTGGGGGCCACTTCTGCATGGGGCCCACAGGATCAGGAGCCAGGCATGCAAGGCCCAAGGGACCTGGGTCCCCACAGCCTCGCTGCTCCCTCACCAGGGGGCCAAAGCCCTAAACAGTCCCAGAGAGGTCCTGCTCATTCCTGGGTCAGCCCCTGCAGCCCTGTTCGTGACTTGTCTGTCCCTGTCATGGACTGTGGGCGGCAGACAGGGAGCGTTGACTGACCCATGCCAGGTCCCCAGGATCAGGCACAGGGTCAGGCCCAAAGCAGGTGTCAGTTAATGCCGTGGGATGAGGATTTCTGGCAGTTTAAATTACTTCTTGAACACTCCTGGCAATGTAGACAGTCAGTGCCCAATGAGTGCTGCCAGTTGGTGGTACTGGCAGCCTGAGTGCCAGGCGCTGCTCCATGCCCTTTATATGTAAAGGCTGTGTGGCCCCCACAGTGGAGACAGGTAGGTGCGGGAGGGAGCTCAGAGCTGGGACAAGCTGACTCAGAGCTGCCACTCCTACTTCCCCACGCACCCCATGGCTGCCTCCTCCTGGAGGCCCTCAGGGGGTCCTTGAGGATGGAGCCCCTGCCTCTGCAGAGATGCTCTGCCCCCAAGCCTCTGCTGACTCAGTACCACCTCCCAAGGACCCGTCCATTCTGTCCATCCAAATCCCACCTCCCTGGAGGCCCATTCACCAGCCCACACTTACTGGGCACCTACTGAATACCATGGCTATACTGTGGGTGCAAGAGAGCTCACGAGGAGAAAGGCTTAGTTCCTGGCATGACAGCAAACTTGGCAGAGCAATCAGGAGCTGGACTCATGGGGGCCAGAGACCCCAGGACCCCAGGACAGGGGGAGAGAGGCCCTCAGCTGCTGGGGGGCCCTGCCCCAATGGACCCTCCAATCCTATGAGAGTCCCCTATCCTTGATCCAGTTTCTACCCCAACCCCCTGAAAGGGGGAGAGGCGCAGAGGCCCCGAAGAGGGCCCACCTTGTCCTGCACCATCCGTCAAGTACAGCAGCTCCTCAAATAACACTGTTGCTTTCAACGTGGTTTTGTGATAACGCTGACGAGAAAAAAAATCGCTTCCCTTTCAGGGCCATTGCGTGGCATGTGCACGAGCTCCCCAGGTCTGTGTGGGTTTTCTCCCTGTCCTCCGGCTCCCCCATACCCCAGTGCTGTGCACATCCGGTGAACAGGCGTGTCGCCGTGGCCCTGGCTGAGTGGGTGTGGCTGTGCATGGGAGTGTGCCCCGAGAGGGGATGGTGTCCTGAGCAGAGTCAGGTCCCACCTTGTGCCCAGAGCTGCTGAGACAGGCTCAGCCACTCATGACCCTGCACTGGAATTAGTGGGTTGGAAAATGAATGAATAAATGAATAAAAATTATTGCAAAATAAAAATTCGTCAAATAGACATAGTCAGACGAATGCGTGGCAATACAGGAAGCCGCCACGTTTGTGATCGTTTGATTTTGAAGTGCGTGGTGGCAGGAGGAGCTCCCGACCATGGTTGCCGTGAGATGTGTGTTCCGTTACCACTCACTGGCCCACGGAAAGCTGGGGAAGCAATTCTCTTCCCTGTTTAATTCACTTTTCTTACATGTATGTGTAGCTCACATTTACTTCAGTGTTTAATGTTAGAAGTGTTTGGGGTCTTCATTGGAAGCCTGGTGACGTTTTTGTGACCAGAAATACCTGGCAGGAACTTAACTCTTATCTATCTCTATCAACTTATGGGAACACTAGTGTCCTTAAACCAATTTTCACTTAAAACTGGCATCGTTTTGCTTAAAGCCGCAGCTTCCAAGAACTTATGGATGATGTGATGTGAGGACTTACTGTACACCATGCCCAGGAAAAAAGTCTGGGGTGCCCCTGTGGCCAGCCTGGGCCCAGCCAGGCCATCTCCCCAGGCTCGGGACTCTCAGACCAGAGCCTCCCCCAGAATCCCACAACATTCTCCCATCTCAGCAGCATCAGCAACACCAGGGAGGGCAGTGCCACGGCACACACGGTGCCCAGCCTCCTTGGCCCCGCGCGAGGCCGCTGCAGCCTTCCTCTGGGGCTGCGTGCTGGTTGCATGCCCTCTTTCACTTACTATCTTGAATGAGTCAGGAAGGAGAGGCTGATGGGGCTCATCCTGGGGTTGGCCCAGGGCTCTGCGTCTCTGACCTGGGGAGCTGGCTAACCCTAAGTCCCGTCACTCCCTCCGAATCAGAGGCACCCACACCCCAGGGCTGCTGGGAGGCTGGACGGAAGAACAGCGGCCCTGGTGCACACAGGAGGTGCTTGGGACCAGCCAGGGACCCTCCTGAGACATCTATTCCTGCTCTGGACCGGCCCGCTGGCCAGGCACCCAACAAACAAGCCCCCGGGCTGCCCGCAGGCACCTGGATCCGCCAAAGGCCCGGTTCTCACGCTCACTTCCTCTTCAGGGGAGGCTGGGGATGCTTGCCAGGCCCGAAACCCCAAGACACTCTCAGGGAGGGCTTTACTCAAGACGATCATGAGTAGGCACCTTCTAAAGGGATGAGAAAGCGGAAGCAGGGGGGAGGGGTGGGGGGAAAGTGAGGAAAAAGGGGAGCAGGAGGTATGGGGGAGGGGAAGAGGGGTAGCCAGAGGCGGAAGGGCCAATCCTCAGCCTCCCCATGTGGGCGGGGGCAGGGCTGCCTGCCCCCACTCCACCCAGCTCCCGAAGGCAGGAGGCCGGGACAGGCGCGAGGCCGCCAAGAACACAGGGCGCAAGGCCCCACGGAGGTCAAAGATCCCCCTAGGGCCAGGTAGTCCCTGCTGGCAGTGTCTGTGGGAAAGGCCCTGGGCCTAGCCAGCTACACTCAGGCCTGTCAGTGGGCACTGGGGCTGCCACAAATGCCGGGGCAGCTGGACCCATCCTGTGGAGTGGAAACCCAGGCCCCTGAGCCCACTCCAGGAGGGTCCAGACCTACAGGGTTATCTGGGGGAGCCCTCCCTGAGCAGGGCGCCAGAGGGCTGGAGGAGGTGGTGGAGAGAGGGGTTCTGCAGGGCCACAAGTACCCCGACTGGTCCCATCCATGCCTTCAGCCCCTGCCAGCTGTGCCTGCCCACCTCTCCCTTCACCTGCTCCACCCACACCTTGCAGCCTCAGACCCGTCACCCAGGGCGGCCTCCAATGTTTCTAGAGGCTGCACCCTCTGCTGGCACCCCTCTCCCCAACTCCCTTCTCCTGGACACCCCAGCTGCTGCCCAGGTCTCCTCCTCCAGCCCCGACCCAGGGTGGCTTGTGTGATATCAGGGGAGGTGTGGGATCCCGGGAGCTGGAGGAATGGCCCTGGCATCACGGGGCCCCCCTGGGCTGAAGCTGGAGTGGCCTCGTCCATGCCTTGAGACTGTGAGCTTCATGGGACTGGGCCCTGCTGGGGCCACAGCGGGGGAGGGGTAGGTGACTGTGTGGATGGACAGATGGATGCGCTCGGTAAATGGTTCTGTCCATGCTCCGGCCCACGTGCTCCAGTGCCTTGGAGCCCCGCTCCACCTGCTGTTCTCTGAGCTCCCTGCCCCCGCATGCTATCCTGGGACTCCACAGCACAGACCTCTGAGCTGATGGCTGTCCTCACAGGCCCGGGGCCCCTCGGGACGGCCCTTCCGGTGACTTCCTGCCAGGGAGGCCAGGGGGAGGGGTAAACAAGGCCTCCAGATGGCTTCCTGTGGCTGGGCAGCCGTGGGAACAGCCCGGCCCAGGGAGGCTACCAAAGGAGGGGAGGGTGGGAGCAGGGGCCAGCCAGCAGCATCCGTCAGCAGAGCATCTGCTGAGATGGACCCGCTGCCCTCTCGGAGCCTCCGACATGGCCGGGGGGACGTCACACCCTGTTTACAGAGGGGGACACTGAAGCACAGGCAGGCAAGTTACCCCAGGGCCAGCCCACCAAACCCAGTGCCCTCCCCTCCACACCAGAGACTCCCGTCTCTCTGGCCTCATCTGCAAAGGAGCAGATGAGCTGGCTGGCTAGAGGTCACCTCAACGACAGGACGTGCAGATGTGCAGGTGCCAGCTTGTCTGTCTTCCATCCCAGCACTGCCACTCCCCAACTGTGCTACCTAGCAGAGTGCCAGCCTCAGACACCAGCTTCCCTCCCTGGGAAACAGGACGACCATGGCAGCTGCCACCAGGGGACCCTGAGGTTTAAGGATGTGCCCTGGGTGAGCTCCGGCTGCTGGCCCAGAAGAGGCTCGCGACGGTGCCATTAAGAGTGATGCCGTTCCGTCAGGTCCTGGGTCCCCAGGAGGAGCCTGTCCTCACCCGGCTTGCCCCTTCCTGGTGCCTCGTGCATGACTCCCTCCGTACTGTGATGCCATCTCCTCCCAAAAGCCCACCCTGACTACCTGCTTCCTGCCCCACCACGACCTCTAAGTCTTGGGGACACATGCTCCAGGGAGGGAACTGCCATCTCCTACAAGTCCTACTCACCCATGGGATTTCTCTGGGGTCAGGACCGCCCCTCTCTGCCTACTGCCATCCCCACGGGGCCAGTGTGGACCCGGGCAGCCCCCCAAGAGTTATGGGGAGGCAGGAGCTACACAGCAGCCAGGATAGGGATGAAGGGGCTGGCAGACACACAGCCGGGCACCAACAACCCTCCCATCTGACCCAGGGTTCTGCCAGCGGGCCAAGAAAGACTCACCCCGGTGCCGAGACGCACATCCTGGCTGTCCATGGCCTCACTTAGGAGAGCCCATCATGGGGGTGGGGGGATGGCTGGTTAATAAACAAGCATCTGACCAGACCCAGAGACCAGGGTCCAAGGGTGCCATCGGGAGAGGACCCCAGTCAACACCCAGGGAAATTTCAAGTGACACTGTAAAACAGCACCCGAGGCCGGCACGGTTCTTGTGAAATGAAGCAGAAGCCCAGAGCTACTGCAGCCGTGTATTTCCCAGGCTGTTTGAATTTTTATAATGAACATCACCAAATGTGTGTCTAAAACAATAACCACGTTTGCGCCTGGCACAGTGGTGGGCCGGGCACAGATGTGGGCCGGGCACAGTGGTGGGCAAGGTGCAGAGGCGGGCCAGGCGCAGAGGTGGGCCAGGCGCAGAGGCAGGCCAGGCACAGTGGTGGGCCGGGCGCAGTGGCTCACACTGTAATCCCAGCACTTTGGGAGGCTGGGGCAGGAGGATCACTTGAGTCCAGGAGAAGCAGCCCGGCTAACATGGTGAAATGCCATCTCTACAAAAAATAGCTGGGCATAGTGGCGCATGCCTGTGGTCCCAGCTACTCAGGAGGCTGAGTCAGGAGAATCGCTTGTGCCTGGGAAGCGGAGGTTTGCAGTGAGCTGAGATCGTGCCACTGTATTCCAGCCTGGACAACAGGGTGAGACTCCGTCTCAAAAAAGAGAAAACAATAACTACATGTTTGAAGCGTTGTTCAAATGTCGCCTCTCCCCCATGTGAGCTCCTTGTGGGTCCCGCAGTGCTGCCATTGCACGTCCCCAGCCTGCCCCAAGAACACAACCTGGCAGGTAGGGAAACTGAGGCACCCATGGACAGCCCTCCCCCAGGTCACAGGCCTGGAAGAGAGTAAAGGGCATGCCACCAGGACCCCGTCCATCCATTGCAGTCACCGACTCAGAAGCAAGCAGCCTGGCTCAGGTGGCTGGAGCTCAGCTGCCAGGCCTTTGTCCTGATCCCACCCATCTGCTGTGGGGGCCGGGGTCTCCCCCAGGCTCCCCATTCTCCAGACACAAAAACGGAGGCCCAGAAAGGGCAGGAGCAGGGAGAGTCGGCAGAGCCAGGGCCAGGCCTTGTAGCTCCCCAGGGCCATGCGGAGGGGACAGGGAGGCCACCGAGGGGAGGGGCAGCCGGGAGCCCCGGGCACCCCCAGGGACCCCCTGAGCTCCACACGGCAATTCCCAGCAGATGGGCCTCTGGGCAGCTGGCCAGAGGGAAGCAAAGCCCGGGAGGAAGGGCCTCTGCGGCTGACCCAGGACGGGGAGATTAAAGGAGAAGATGTTTGCCTTGGCAGGGGCCCCAGGACCAGGCGAGCCAGAGGAGGGGGCCAGCGTTCCAGGCATCAGTAGAAGATGCCAGAGTGGGGGTGCCAGGAGTAAGAGGCACCGGCTCTAGGGGCAAGGGCGGAGTGGATGAGCAGGTAAAGCACACCGTGTGCCACAGGAGGGGTGGTGACAGGGACCTGAGGCAGGCGGGCAGAAACCCTGGGTGGGGTGGCGGGGAATCCTCCGAGCCCTCCCGAGCCTCTTCCAGGAAGCCTGAGTCACAGGAGGGACCCAGGGCCAGGAGAGCAGCCGGGAGCACCGGTCCCGTGGGAAGGGGACTGAGATGGGGACAGGGACAGGGCAGGGCCACCCGTCACCTCCTCTAGCTGGGCCAGGCCTGGCTTCGAGGTCTCCGTGGCGGGTGAGGACGAGGCCGTGGGAACAGGCTCCTGCAGCTCCCCAGAGGGACTAGGGGGTGGTAGAGCTAGACAGAGTGGGTCCAGCCCATCCTGCAGAAGGGGAAACTGAGGTCCAAGAGAAAAGCCTCCTGGACAATGACGTCATCAACTGAAGTGTCCCCTGGGCAGCCCAGGCCTGGACACTGGGGAGAACAAGGCAAGAGTCTCCCCAGCCAGGCCCTGAGCACCCTCATCCGGGGGTCTTCAGGTTCCAGAGTCCAGTTCTAGCACATCCACCCTCAGCCATGGACCCGAGACCCTCCAACTCCCAGGGTTAGAGACTTCCTCTTGATGCCCTATTTCCAGGACCCCACCCCAGGGAAATCTGATCCCCGCAGGCCCTGCTCCACCTCACCACCTCACTCTAGAACATTCCCTGGTTCCTGCCACTCCATGCCCCAGGATGGGAGTCAGGGACTTGAACCCTAGTATGCTGAGTCTGGGGTGTTCCCAGACGCCCGTCTGCCCACATCAGCAACGCTGGCTCCTGCAGGGGTGCTGGAATCTCTGGGAGTTGGAGGCTGTGCCTCAAGCAGAACCAAGCAATCAGGGAGTGCTTCCCAACTTATAACCACTCAAATGGTCCAGCCTCTTATTGGCAAGTGCAGAGCAGAGACTCCAAGGGATGTTATGCCCACCTCTGAGGGTCACCTAGCAGGAGACCTGGGCCCCACTGGCCCACTCCACCCCTCATCCAGCAAATAAACCCTGAGCACTGGCTAGGCCAAGCCCTGGGCAGAAGGCACAGGGGCCCTCTTCTTGGCCATCCCAACACCACTGGGCCCTGACCACATCTTCCAGGGCCAAGGGCTCCAGCCTGGGCACCTCCAAGCAGGCCTCAGGCAGACGCCTCCCTCCCTGCTCCGCCTGCGCTGACTGTCCAGGGTCCTGCATCCAGGTCTCGGCCCGTCCAGGACTGAGCCACACACAGCGAGGCTCACACATGATAAAGGCAGGAGCCGGGCCGACCCTGGACAGAGAGCGGGCTAGTGGTGCCAAGCCCTCAGAACCAGGGGCAGCAGGAGGAGCAATGCCCAACTCAGGTCCAATTTCTGCAAAACATTTTGTTCAACTCCCTTCCAGCTCTGATGGGCAAAGATAACAGAATCTCTCTGAACTATCCAGAAAGATCACTGCCTTTTATGGACAAGAACACTGGTCCCAAAGAGGTCGAAACCAGGCTCCACAGCCACCGAGGCACTCAGGCCCCAAGGCAGGGTTCTCATGACCAATACCCGCCCCGCCACCTGCCTTGTGAGGGTCTGCAGGGGACGTGCACCCCACCTTCACCTCCTGACTCACTGGACTCCCAACTGAGGCCAGCGGGGAGCATGTGCCCAGCGTGGGGCAGCCAGGTGGCGGAGTTGTCATTGTTCTGTACTTGTGGTAGGAGCTGGGCATGGCAGAGGCCCTTCCCAGCAGGACTCCTGCCCTCTCCCACCCAACCCCAACCCAGGACAGGCCTTACAGGCAGAAGTTTCAGCCCACCCGGGGGCTCCATTCAGGTCACTGGGACCTCCTTCAGAGAGCCCCCCACTGCCTGGAGCCTGTGTGACCTCATGAAGTGACAGAGCATCAGCCTCTCATTGTACAATGGGCAGGCAGCCTGTCCTGTTGTCACAGGGACCCACCAGGATGAGGTTGGCACAGCCCTGCACACCCTGGCAGCCACCTTCCCCGAGCCCCGGCTTCCCTGCGTGTAACACAGCTCTCACTCCGGCTCCAGGAGCCGCTCTGGCCCTGAGGAGGTGGCTAGAGCCAAATTCAACACAGATCAACCTGTGTTCATCCCCCTAGCCCTCTGGGGTCTTCCAGCCTGGCTTCCTCCCTGGCCGGGAAAACAGCAAGGGAGGAGAGGCTGTGGGCTCCAGGCCCCCAGCCAGCCCGGCTACCCTCCCACAGGAGTACCTGGCTCAAGGGCAGGTCCCAGAGAGCACAGCCCAGGCTGTTTCCTTCCCTGGATCGTTCATCCACTGTGTCTGGAACCCCAGCGGGCTCAGTGCACTCAGGACCCGCACGTCAGCTTGTCGGCTCCACACATGCAGCCCCTCGGGTTATGCGTGGTCTTGTCCCACGTGAGAAGGGAACACTGAGACTCAGAAGGTGACATGACCAAGCTGGCGTGGCCAAGCTAGCCCTTCCCGAGGCCACCGTCTCCCCACCCTGTAGCCCCCATCCCCACCTCATCTCTTCCTGGCCAAATCATCAGCGGTGCCCTTTGTCCCCCGTGTGCCTGTGGTGCAGCTGCTCCACTTGGCGCCAGCTCCTCGGGGCAGGGCTCGGGACTGTCCTGTTCCCAGTGGGCCAGAGCAGGCACACAGTAGGTGCTCCAGGGCTGTGGGCTCGGTGAGAGAGGAATGCTGGACGGGCTGCCCGGGGCCAGATTCCATACCACCTGATGACCTGGAGCTGCTCACCCCACTGGCACCATCACCCAAATGACCAGCACCCTCCCCTGCCCATTTACTGACCTTTCCCCAAAAAGGAGGCATGGCCAGCGTTCAAATTCCTGCTCTCCTCCCAGCAGTGACCCTGGCACGTCACTTCTCCCCTAGGGTCCTTCCCTGGCTCTAGGGCAGGACGGTAATATGAACACTTACCCGCCAGAGGTCTCAATCCTCTAGGATGAAGGGAGTTAAAATGCATCAAGTTTTACGTATGAGTCCATCACGGTCCTGACCAATGGCACCCACAGCCCAGATAATGGGGCCGGTTCTGGCTGTACCGCAATCACCAGGCACTGCCAAGGAGCCCCACCTTCACATGGCACGGGGTTACAGTCACGGCAGGGGTGGGGGTTACACATCAGGTTAGGCCTGCTTCCTCTGAGCCAGTGGCAGGGTTGGCGGGGGCAGGTGGCCAGGACAGGGTGGGAGAGGGGAGGCAGCCCCATCTGTCCCCAGCCAGGGTGGCCCTTGGCAGGCAACAGCAATGACTGTGCTGCATTTCCACTCCTTCTAGAAGCATAAGCCCTGACATGAGGGCACCCCTACATCTGGGGAAGACACCAGGAGAGGAGCCGGGGGGCATGGGAGCACCCCTACATCCCGGGAAGATGCCAGGAGAGGAGCCAGGGGACATCCCCACTGGGTAGATGAACGGGGGCTGCAGGAGGGAGGGGTGGCCCACGCACCTACCCCGGGTAGATGAACGGGGGCTGCAGGAGGGAGGGGTGGCCCACGCACCTTCCCCAGGTAGATGAACGGGGGCTGCAGGAGGGAGGGGTGGCCCATGCACCTATCCTGGGTAGATGAACGGGGGCTGCAGGAGGGAGGGGTGGCCCATGCACCTACCCCGGGTAGATGAACGGGGGCTGCAGGAGGGAGGGGTGGCCCACGCACCTAAGGGGAAGTGGGGGTGCACTGGGCAATGGCCCCCAGTTCCCCTCCAGGAGGAAGGTAAACCTGAGGGCCCACTCTCAGGACCCCAGCTGAGCCCTGAGCCATGTGGTCATCCCTGACCCTCAGTTCCGCTTCCAAACCAGGAGGCTGCCACTAAAGCAGCCCAAGACTGAGTGGCACGTGCCTGGCGGGAAGCGATGCCCCACCTAGGGGTCCTTAGGGCCACACCCTTGGCTGGGAGGAACAGCCTGTCCTTATTTTCTGAACTGTCTTTTGTACAACAGCCTTGGCGCAGCTCAAAGGATAAGTGAGGTTCTCAGGGTCCTGACCTGAGGCGCCCCAAGGAGGGGAGACACGCGCACACTCTCTGCCAGGTGAACGCCTACTGGGCCATCGGAACCCACAGCTCGTGCCCCACCCACACTGGCACGGGCTGTGTCCACGTAGCCCTGATCCCGCTCGGCTAAAGAGCGCAGCTCTCAGCTGCCGTAGGTAGCTGCCAGGACCCTCCACCCTCTGCTCAGGCTCCTGGGTGGAAGGAAGCACCCGTCCCTGTCCCCGTCCCACCTTGGGGAGGCCCCCCTCTCTCCAGGGAGGCTGGCCTACCCGACTGGCAGGCGTGGGGCACACTCTGGGCCGCCCCCAACCGCACACACCCAACTCGCGGGGCGCCGAAGTCAGGCGGCGGCGATGCCAACCCGACCACGTAACTGTGCGAAGTGCAGTACCTCCTCCTGCAGCCCACAGCCACTCCCACCCAACTCTGAACTGTGCAGAGAGGACGGGGCTCATCGGCCCTCGGACCTTGCCCAGGTCCCTGCCTATGGGTCCTGCGAGCCGGTCCAGGTCAGAAGGAGGGATGGGAAGTCTTTTTTACCTCACACATGTTCACCCGTGTGACCAAGCTTCACCACTGTCCTGCCAGGAAGACCTGTCATTGCTCCCATTTTACAGGTGTGGAAACGGAGGGGCAAGAAACCAAGTATCCAGCAAGACACTGGGAGGCCAGGCCCTCCTGCCTCTAGCCCAGCCTCGGGCTGCTGCACTTGCTAGGAAACACCACTGCAGGCAGGGAGGGGTGCCAGGGACCAGAGGGAGTAGGTGACAGCAAGGGCGGCCAGGGTGGAGGTGGGGAGAAACGGTGCTCTCGAGGTGAGAAAGCGCCCTGGGGTGGTCTGGGACAGTGACCATCTGGTTACAGCCTTTGGTCAGATTTGGGACCTTCATGGAACAAGGCAAGCCCAAGGTCTTGGGGGGCGAAAAATCACCACTATCTGCCAGCCCCAGGCCCAGGAGCTCCCAGCTCAGCCCCTCTGGCCAAATGCCACCTGGACACCAGCCTGGTACACTTTCCACTTAACTCACCCTTTCGCCAGGACCTGCCAACCAGGGAGAGGCCTCCCCAAGCTGTATCACCGCCATCTGGATGTAAGTCCCTAAGGAGGTCACGTGCATAGGCATTGGGCACCAGCGGACACTCTGCCCACCCTGGCGGTGAGAGGGAGGGCTCACACCAGCTTATGCCCCCCTCTCAGTCTGACTGTGTGCACCTCTGCCCAAGTCCTCAGCCAGTAAAGTCACGTCTGTGTAGCTTGGGAGTAGTTACACCACAGAAATTGGCCAATGCCAATTCAGGATTTGGTTAAGCATCTGTTAAGCATGCCCTCATGTCATCTTTGAGCCCAGCCACCCATGGTGCCTCCAAGACCTCCTCGCCATCCAAACTGCCCACTTGTCTGAGAAAGCTGCCCACCTCCCGGCCTTCCTCCTGCCTCCCATGTCCAGTGCCTGACTGCATCAGCCAGCCACCCTCACCATGTTCTGGGCTGTTACTTGGGACAGAGAGGGGACCAGCTGAGGCCCCCAGCCTTACTCCAGTGGTCAGCGCAAGCTTCCGGGAGGAGGGCAAAGGCAGAGAGGAGCAGGCAGCTGAGGAAACCACCTGGAGGCTGCATCTCATCCCCGCCTGCATTTTCTCCCATCACGCCGACTGCCTGCGGGGGCCTGTCCGCAACCTGCCCCGCTCAGCCAGCCAGCCATGCCCCATCTCCAGGTCCAGCATTGGGCCTGGCACAGAGTAAGTGCTTGGAGAACACGTTGGGGGTGTTGAGGGGTGACCAGCTCCCTAGCGGGGCTATTTGGAAACAGCCCAGGAATTCCTACACAGGGCAGCTTCTCCTCCTTCGTAACCACAGTGAGGGGGGCCGGCGTGGTGATGGGGAGATCCCCAATGCCTAATTCCACTCAGGTGACAGGTTCGGGGCCCATTTACAGCAGCTCCAACGCCCCCTTTGCAGATGGGGACAACAAGGCTCTGCTTAGCCCCGCAGGCTAGGGGCTGCACCAACTCCACCTTTGTGGGCCTCAGTCTCCTCATCTGAGAAATGGGGTTAACGAACTTCTTGGGAGGATTGCAGGAACTCAGTGAAGCACGGCTCTGCACAGGGCTGCCAGGCGGCTTCTGTCTGTGCAAGGCCACAGGCACCCTGTGTTCAGTGACCTCCTCTGGTCTGCAGCCGAGGACACTGCTCCAACCTGGGAGCAGGGCCCCCAGGGTCCACAGACTAGGTGGATGCCCAACACCCACCATCGTGTGCGGGGCACACCCCAGAGCCCGCAGGCAGAGAGAGGGGGTGCAGCACGTGCCTTTCTGTCTTGGCTGAGGGTGCCCGGGCACACACTGTGACCAGCTAGCCTGGACCTCACGCTGCCCTTGGAGCCGCTATCACAGAGGGCCAGGGAAGCCTCCCTCATAAAGGGCTTCCCTCCGGGAACCGGCAGGGTGAAACTGCTCTGCCCACTTGGAGCTAAGCATGCCACCACCCCACCCCTGGGCCACCAGCTGCCCAGGGGCGTGTCAGGAGTCACCCGTTTAATCCCTGAGGCACGTGGATCAAGGCTGCTGACCTGATTCTACCGGGGTGTGCTTGGAGGGCTGAGGCGCCGCCCGAGTCCCAACACTGGTATGGTCTGAGGCGGACTCCACCCGGCCTGAGACCTGACGCTCTGCTTTCCCCTGACCTCCACTGACATCTACGACCCGCCCTGGAGGCACGGAAGGCTGTGGGGTTCCAGCCCCCCAAACTGTGCAGCTGAGGAAAATGAGCCGTGAATGGGGGCAGAGCCAGATCCTGGGCGGGACCCTGCGCAGGATGAACTCAGGGTAGGAGGTCTCCCGCGCACCCAGAAACGGGAGCGGGTCACCCCCTTCCAGCCAGGGGTGTTCTGTGGCTCGCCTGGGGAAACAGCGGCCTCCTGAGGCTCGGCCCCGGCACGTGGCAGCCTCCAGGCCCACGTTCCCGCCGGATCGGCCGCCAGGCGCAGGGTCCCGGGACGCGCGGGCAGGGGGAAGGCGGCGGCCCTCCCGGCTGCGCGGCCCCGAAGCCGTGCCCGGAGCGGGCGGCGGGCTCGCGCGCGGACGGCCCCCCACGCGCCTCCACAAAGCGCCGCGCGCCCCCGCCCCGAGCGGGCGCGGAGGAGACTGACCTGGCGGTCCGGGCGGCGCCGGCACGACGGGTGGAGGGCTCGGGACGCGCGCGCCCTCGCGCACAGGCGCGGCCGCGGCTCCACCGGCTTAGGGCGCGCGCCGGACCCGCTGGGTCACGTGGGGGCACGGCCCAATGGGAGCGCTCCCCACGCCGCGGCCGCGCGCCCGCCGCCCCCGAGGCCGCCCCTGGGCTGGGAGGAGGCGGCTCCGGTCGCGCGGGCGGCCTCGGGGACTGACCTTGGCTCCTGTGCCTGCCGGGCGCCTAGGCCAGGTCGGCCTGGGGCAGGCGGGCGTCGGAGGGGCAGTTTTGAAGCCCGAGCGAAGAGGCAGAGGGCGGGATGCGGACGAAGCCAGGGAGTTCACGAAACTTCTGGAGTTCTCAGTTTCCCCCTAAGTCGACTGGGGCTAGGTCCCGTGCCGCCAGGCGGGCTGGCTGAGGGGATGGGCTGGGGCGACAAGACGGCAGCCGCCTGGCCCGGGTACTTGGGGTCAGACCGGCTTCGAGGCCCCCGGACCGCCGTGTTATCAGGACGGGTAGGGAGCCCACGGGACGCGTGGTGCTCAGAAGAGCGGGGAGGCGTGTGGACGGGGCCTGCCCGAGCTGCACCACCGCGTGCCTCCAGGCTGCGAGGCCCGCCCAGGCGAAGGCGGCATCTCAGCCTCTAGCCCTTGGGGACCTTGAGGACGTCCTCTTATGGGTCAGCCGTTCCTAGGGAGGCTTGTGGCTCCAGTTACTGGAAAAACCAGTGCTGGTTCACGCAGGAGGCCCCAGTACAGGGGGAAACAGAGGCAAGCTGGGGTCTCCCAGGCGGCCTCACCCACCCAGCCCTGTTCCATGCCAGTCCCTGGACCCTTGGCCCAGTCAGATGTTCAACTGCTCCAGCCCTGCCTCCACTTCCCTGAAAGATGCTTTTCCACCCATCCACCCTCAGCAGCCAGAGGGACCCCGGGAAGATGGGAGTGAGAGCTGCCTTCGTCTGCAAAAGTCTCCAGACACCACCTCACTGGTGAAGGCCAGAGACCCTAAACTGTCCCAAGACCACCTGACTGGGCTGCCTCCCTGCCACCTGGCTGCCAGCCTCTCTCAGAGCGCCTGCAAGCTATTCCTCCAACCCAGAGTTTCCTTCCCAGCTAAAGGCCTTTGCACCTGCTGTTCCTTCTGCCTGGAAGTTCACCGCAGACTATCCCAGGGCCTCCATCCTTCCCATTGCATGGTCCCCATCAGCTGCCGCCGCCTCTGAGAGCTCAGTCTCCACTGGCCATCCTGTCTCTCAGCCCACTGCACTCTCCACTCTGCCAGAAAGTCCCCCAATCAGTGACAACACAGGTCACGGTCCACACCTCACCTGGTTTGTCCCCAGTGCCCAGCATCTGGCACCGAGCAGGTGCGTGCAAATCCTGGACAGGTGGGCAAGCTGATGGTGTCCAGAGGCCCCTGGTCCTTAAGGGCAGGGGTGGGGATGGCTCAGAGGACATAACCTTGCAGACCCGGGTTCAAATCTGGGCTCCTCAGCTCATTTGGTCCTCACACAGCCCATGTTGGGAGAGCTAGTGTTCTCCCTGTTTTGCTGATGAGACACAGAGAAGGTCAGCAACTCCCGAAGATTGCCCAGCAAGTTGGGAGTAAAGCTGGTGCAATTCCCACGTTTAGCTGCTAAACAGGGTGTCCTGTACTTGGTGTGTTCAAGCAGAAATCCACACATGGGAAGGTCAAGGCAACATCCCTGGTACTCCAGCTTTGAGGTCCTAGGAAAAAGGGAACCTCCCATTAAATGCTTCTATTGCCGGGAAGTTCAGCACCTGTAAAAGCAGCCCCTTCCCGTTTCACTGTGGCTGCATTTTAATTCTTATTTTTTAAATGTTTAGCTTAAGGCCGGGCACAGTGACTCACACTATAATCCCAGCAATTTGGGAGGCTGAGGCGGGAGGATCACTTGAGCCTAGGAATTCAAGACCAGCCTAGGTAACATAGTGGGACCCTATCTCTACAAAAAATAAAAAATTAGCCAGTCATGGTGGCATGCTCCTATAGTCCCAGCTTGGAGATTGAGGTGGGAGGATCACCTGAGCCTAAGAGGACAAGGCTAGAGTAAGCCCTGATCCCGCCAGCACCCCAGCCTAAGTGAAAGAGCGAGAGCCTGTCTCAAAAAAGATAAAAAAAAAAAGCATTAATAAATAAATGTTTGGCTTCATCTAGCCTGAGCAGCACCAACACCCCCTGCCTGTTTCATGCTATTTTCCTCCTCTCCTGCCCAAAATCTCAGAGAGGTTTCTATCCCAGCCACCCAAATTTGCTGGGGTGAGTGGGCTCCCGAGAGGCTGGAGCCTCCTTCCTCCCCACGCTCTTACCATCCTGCAGGGAGTCGGGAGCAAAGGAGGAGGCTCCTCCATGCTGGATTCATTTCAGTTCTCAGACATTCACCGAGTGCTGACCACATGCCAGGGACTTACACCCACCCACCAAGTCCACACTGAGCCCTGCAGAGGAATCCCTGACACCCCCATTTTGCAGATTAGGAAGCAGAAGCTAAGCGAAAGCAGAATCAAGATTCAAACCCAGGCACGGTGAAACCAGAGCTGTCCAACTGCTGTGAGTGGAATGGGCCGGGCATGAACAGGCTTGGGGAGAATCCTGGGATTTCATAGCCGGAAGAGAGCTCAAAGTGATCGTGTTTTACAGAGGAGAAAACGGGGCCTCAGAGATGATGGCTGAGCCGTGAAAAGGTGGGGTCAGAAGCCAGGCCCAGTCTCCTGAATTCCAGACTCCAGAATCTCCCCCAGGATTGAGGAATGTTCCACAGAAAGAATCCCAGCTCCACCTACCCCAGTCACTGGACCTGCCCAGCCCTGGAGGCATGGCCAGGAGGAGGCCCCCGCAGGTGGGGGATTGTTGGAGAGGGATGCCAACCATGCAGGACGATCTAGACAGTGGTGAGGCCCACTGGGGCTGGCAGGATTAGCAGATTAGCTCCAAGGAGGACAAAGACGAGGTCAGCGTTAAGTGGATTTCTGGAAAGCCTCCTCCAGCCCAGCAGGGCCCTACAGGAGGGGCCCAGGCTGGGGGACCTAGATCCAGCCACGGAGGGCATGGGTGGGCTAATGGCACCAGCAGCAGCTCTTGAGCCCCCATCACTGGGCTGCACACTTTGACCTCTCCTGGCCTCAGTTTCCCCATCTATAAATGTCATAGTAATAGCTCCAACCTCACAGGGCTCTTGGGAAGACCCACAAGATGGTGGCTGTCAAGTGCTGCGTTGCTTCTGCCTGCGCAGAAGTAGATGTCTTTATGACTGTCCTTTTGAATCCTCCTCAAGCCCTGAGCGTCAAACAAAATAAAAAAGAGCTTGTTGTTCAGTGGTTAGTTAGGTAAACAGGAGCGGGGTGCAGGAGTATACATCTAGGAAGAGAGTAAGTGTGCGGAACGATGCTCTCTGGGCCACTTCACGTCCCCTCTGTTCCCTGATTTCAGTGGCAGTGGCCCATTCTGAGCGAGCTTGGACCCTCCTCCTCAGTGCCTGCCTTCCGTGTGTACCAAGCCCTGAAGGGCAGAGGAGGGCCAGCCCTCCGCAGTGTGGCAGGGCTCTGGCGGATACACCTGCCTCCCATCTGCAGAAGGACCTTCCTCAGGTGTCCGGCACACTTCTCAGGAGGTCCTGAAACCAGCTGAGACCTCCATAACACACCTGTGTTGGCTCCCTCACCTGGTCATCACAAATAAACCACCTGCACCAATGTCCCTATCTCAGGCTCTGCTATCGAGGGAACCAGCGTAAGCAGCCACGCCCCTGATGCGAAGAGGAAGCAGGGCTTGAGGGAGGCCAGGACTCGGGGGATTGGCGTGCAGGAGCTGGGAAAGTCATTTTCATTTCCCTCCTTCCCCTAGTTTCGTTAATGCAGCCACGCTACTGTGATGGTGACATTTTCATTTGTGTATTAGTTGTGCCTGTAAAACCTGCTCTCTCTCCGCGTCTGTGGTCAAGAGTTCTGAGTGGCTGGGCGGGGCGGTTCTCTGGCTGGGGTCTCATGAGATGCAGTCAGATGGCCAGGGTTCCAGACATGCAAGGGCCCGACTGCGGCTGGGGGATCCCCTTCGGAACCCTCTCACTGTCCCAGCTGGCCAGGCCATGCAGGTTATTAGCTGCTGCTTCAGAGTCTTCCTCAAGACGCCCCTCTGTAGGGATGCTTGGGTGTCCTCCCAGTGCTGGGGCTGGCCTCCCCCACAAGGAGCTACCCAGGAGAGCAAGACACGTGTGATCTGACCTCAGAGGCCACCCAGTGCCACCTCACTGTGTTCTGTGGGGCACCCAGGCCTGCCCTGACTTGGTGTGGGCAGGGTGGGGCGGCTTCCCAAGCCTGCAGCTGGTGCCACCTACAAGGATGAGGGAAGGCCACTGCAGGCTGAGCTCCGGCCCCTTGGGGGCTGGGGTGGAGGTATGGCAGTGCCTGACCTGGACTTCTGAGACCACCAGTGAGGTAGGGTGTGGGAGTTTGGTGGGACACTGAGCTGGGACCTTTGCAGCAGTGGGGCTACCCTAAGCCTGGATGCTCTAGCTGTGTCGCCCATTGGCAGCTGAAAGCGCTCCTGGCTCCCCCTGCCCCTGAGTTTGGCAAACTTTCATTGAGCACCTGTGCCAGGCATCACTGGGACCTGCAGCGGGAGCCCCCCTAGACAGTGCTGCAGCTACTGTCGTGGGGGCATCCAGGAGGCACGTCCCAGGCACTGCATCTGAGCAGGGACCTGCCGGCCAAGCGTTCTTCCTGGAGGAAAGAGGCTGGAGCTCAGCAGGCAGGAGGGGCGCCTTGGCGGAGGGAGGATGGGGGAGTCAGCAGGGACCCTGTGGCCTGGTGCTGGGGTCCCAGGCAAGAGCTAGGGTGTCTCCTGGGGATGACGGGGCCTCCCTGGGGGTGACCGTGGCCAGGTGTCCCACCACACACAGCCCTGCTGGCCTCAGCCCCATCTGGCACCTGCCATTGCACTTGTGACCCCCAGCTCCTGGAGGACCACCGTCCATAGATGCTTCCGCCAGTGAGGAGGCCGGGACACCCACGCTGCGGCATTGAGGATGCCGGGAGGGTCGGGGCAGGCAAGCTTGCGAGGAGCGGGCCTCAGGCACGCCACACGGGCGCCCCCTCGTGGGGCCTGTGGGGCAGGGCCGCTGCACTGGGTACGAGCTGGGCACAGGTCACGGGCACCACCCTCAGCCCGGTTGAATGCTCTGCTGTTGCTGTAGGGCGACGTTGAACATTTTTGAATGAGAGGCCTGCATTTCCACTTTGCCCCAGGGCCCTGAAATTCTGTATCAGGTCCTGCCTGCGGGTCCCTACCTGGCTTCCTCATCTGCTGGGATTCAGGGGATACTCCAGCAAAAAGCGTCCACATGCCAGCCCTGCAGCACCCCATTCAGGGCAAGAGGCAGAGCCGCAGCCGGGGTCTGCTCCTCACCCCACAATCCCGGTGAAGGAGGATGCGATCTGCAAGCGCGGGGCCCTCCGCTCAGTCCTTTGAGGCTGAGTGTGTTCACAGCTTGACTGAGGCTCCCGCACACATGGCATGGCCAAAGGGAGACCTCTCGTGCGTCTGATGTGCCCCCATCCTGTGGCCCATCAAGGTGGGGTCCAGCTCCGTCCTCTCTGCACTGCAGGGTCCAGCAGAGCCGGCCTGGAGCGGCTGGTGGGGAAAGTAGAACCGTGCTCCCTGTCCGCCCCAAGAGCAGGGCTTTGGGACACCACAGCTGGGTGTGGCCTCAAGGGTGGTGGAGGGATCGGGGACTCTCAGAGCAGGCCTGGCAGCTGGTGGGTGTCGGGGGCTGGCCCAGCCACCACCCCCTACTTCCATCCATGGAGACTATGGCCCTGGGAGAGGCCTCCTCAGCACCCAGGGCTCCCAGGGGTCAGGACCCTCCCCCAGAGATCAGCCTGGAAGGGCCTGTCCTTTCACCCCCACCAATGCAGGGAGAGCCTGCTCCATGAGTTGCCCCCACCAGGTCCTGAGACCCAGAGCAGAAGCCCTCCCCAGCTGCAGCCCAGACCACTGGCAAGTGGGGAGTGACAGGCTGGTCTGCAGGAAGACCCCCAGCTGGGCCTCAGCAAGCCCGCCCCTCAGTGTGACTTAGGAAAACCTGTATCTTCAGAGGGGGAGACCCCACGGGAGGTCTCCAGGGAGAGTGGGGAGTGGCCTTCCACCGGGGCCTGCCCAACCCCCCGACCCACACAGGTTCAGAACGCCGCTCTCCCCTGTACCCCTGGCCCACCAGGGACCCAGGAGTGAGGCTCCTGCCTCCTGTCCTGAAGCCCTCACGTGTACCTCTGGGCAAGGGTATTGACAGAAGGCTTTCATCCCACCTTGTTTTCTGGGGACCTCTTAGACCCTGGAGGGGCCCACAGGGCTCAGAGACCCTTGCCAAACCAGGAAAATGACACTGTTTCTGGCATTGAAGTTCCCAACCCTCAATCCAAGAACAATTTGGAGAATTTGTGATGAGGCTGTTTCTCCTGTTTTTTCCAGATTCAGTGAAGGTCCCTGAGCTGAGGACGAGAGAGGAGAGATGATGAGGAAGGCAAAGAGGAGACAGGGGGAGGAGAGCGAGGAACAGAAGGAAGAAGGGGAGGAGGGAGAAGGGAAAAAGAGGGAGGGAGGGGGAAGGGAAAGAGAGAGAGGGAGGGAGAAAGGAGGGAGGAGGTGAAGGGGAAGATGAGAAGGGGAGGAGGCAGAAGATGTTCTGGGAAGGGACAAGAGACGGGCCTGGTGCCTGGGCCCCACGCCTCCCGTTCCTCAGCAGATGAGGCCTGTTGGGAGGCTGAGGAAGGGAGATTGGTGTCCCCACAGGGAGCAGAGCAGGGCTGAATCTAGGGATGCAACAATGCAGAGGGTCCAAATGTCCCCACCAGGCCCAGAAGAGGGCGGGGGCAGCTGGCCCCACCCAGGGACCCAGGCTCAGGCAGGCTGTGCACTGCCCAGCAGCAGGGAACGTGGGGCCAGGGCCTCCATGCCTGATGTGTGCTGAGCCTGCATGCTGAGCCCTCCATGGGGAGCCTGGTGGGGGACAGAGGGCAGCCACAGAACAAGTGACCCTCCCTGGAGGTCGTGGGGCCCAAACACTGGATGCTGCCCAAGACACGGCAGGTCCAGGCTGAGGAACCTGAGGTCCCGACCCTCTCACGTGGGACAGGGCCTGCAGGAGGCAGCCTCCAGGCCCCCCGAACCTGACAACCCCTCATCCTCCTGGCGTGTGGGTCTGTCTTCTCCACTGGCCTGGGATCCATCCACAGTTGCCATCTCCCTCGTCCCCACCAGTGGGCACTCAGGGACAGGAGTTGAGTGAGGCTCCATGTGAGATGCAGGGAACACAGGCACTGGTGGGGGCAGCACAGCTTGCTGGAGTCCCAGCTTCCTGGCCGCTCTGGAGTCAAGGAAGGCTGTGGGTCTCATACCACGTCCTCAGGGCTGCTGACCACCCTCCACGGGGGCCTTTATCCCAGGAAAAATCCCTCATTCCCGGGAAGCTACCATTGCCAAAAATATGGCCTGACAGGCACCCGTCTGACAGGTGCTCCTCAAGCACCCATCCGCGGACACATGCTGAACCCATACGATGCTCTAAACGGGGCGTGCACACTGCAGCCCTCTCAGCACAGGGGCCATGCACCACCAGTTACCAGGATAATCCCTGTGGATGTCGGATTACAGCCTGCTGGGCTGGAGAAGTGGCTGCCCTCAGCAGGGCGCGTGCCTCCCCAGTCATCCCAGTCCCCCTCTGCAATGACAGAGCCCCAGGGAGCTGCAGAGAAGGGGATTTCTTCTTGCAAACAAAACCCCACAGGGAGCCCCAAGATCTAGCTCTAGTTTATTCCTCTATCCAGCAAGCATCAGTCAGACACCTTCTGCCTGCCAGGCCTGTGCCAGGACAAGGCGACACCAGACCCTGTCCTCCGGCCACATCAGGGAGGGGTTGGCGAACAAGGGAAGGAACAACAGGAAGGTGCCAGTGGAGAGGCCAGGCGCGTGCCATGGCGGTGGCAGTCCTCCTTCCTGCAGATCACCCAAAGCCAAACAGCAAGGAAATGCAGGCGCGGGGAAGCAAAGCCAGGAGCCCCTGATGCCCATGCTGTTAGCCACCCATCCACCTGGGTGCAGAAGATGCTCTCGGGGTTCACACTGAGAGACAGGCTGGAGCTGGGCGATGGCCCAAGTGAGTTCGGAACAGGCTGTGGGGCAGGGGCACTCCCACATCTCCAGCAGGGCTTAGAGAACAGGCAAAAGTGGATTCCGATCTCGGCAAGGCAGCGAGTATCCCCTCCTTGGAGGATAACCGAGCCTCTCTGGGGAACTCCTGGGGTGGTAGACGGGAGAGGAGATTTCTCACCGGAGGGGAGACCAGCCTGCTGTCCTGGGCTCGGGAGCAGCTGAAACTCCTTTTGGGGAATGCTCTTGGGAGCTGATTTATAAGGCACAGGAAGAGCCCCGTGTGGTGCAGCCCCACCCCGCTTGTGTCCAAACACAGCCTGTTGCTGTGGACACCCTCACCTCGCTCCTGGCCCAGGGAGGGGCGACTTGCCAGGGCACACAGAGCCCCCTACCAGGAGCCAGCCTGATCCCTGACCTCTGACCCTGGGAGCATGTGGGAGGTGCTGGCTGAGGAAGCAAAACTGCCAGTGTGGCGTCCATCACACTTTCCACATGTTTTAGCAGCAGGGTGTTTGTTTGTTTGTTTGTTTGTTTGTTTAAGAGACAGGGTCTGGCTCTGTTGCCCAGGCTGGAGTGCAGCGGTGCGAGCATGGCTCACTGCAGCCTTAAACTCCCGGGCTCAAGCGCTCCTCCTGCCTCAGCCTCCAGAGTAGCTAGGACTGTGGCATGTGCCTCCACAGCTGGCTTAGCAGCAGATTTTTTCTTGCAAACAAAACCTCACAGGGAGGAACTCCAGGTTAGAGAACTAGCTTATTCCTATACTAGCAAGCATCAGCCAAACACCTTCTACGTGTCAGGCCTGCACAGGACAAGGTGATACCAGGCCCCGTCCTCCGGCCACATCAGGGAGGGGTCAGTGAACAAGTCAAGGAGCGACGGGAAGATGCTGTGAGCATGGCCAGGCGCGTGCAGGGGCAGCGGCTGCTTCCCCTCCCTGCAGAACACACCACCTAAGAGAGACACTGCTCATAACTGGAGATCAGCAACATGCCCAGTTCACAGAGAGGGAAACAGAGGCACGTTGGGAGCAAGTAACTGCGGAGGGGGATCAGTTATAGAAGGAATGCAATGGGATGAGGCCCAGGTATCTACCCAAAAGAATTAAAAGCCAGGACTTGGCTGGGTGTGGTGGCTCACGCCTGTAATCCCAGCACTTTGGGAGGCCGAGGTGGGTGGATCACGAGGTCAGGGGTTCGAGACCAGCCTGACCAACATGGTGAAACCCTGTCTCTACTAAAAATACAAAAATTAGCTGGGCGTGGTGTTGGGCGCCTGTAGTCCCAGCTACTCAGGAGGCTGAGGCAGGGGAATTGCTTGAACCAGGGAGGCGGAGCTTGCATTGAGCCGAGATCGCGCCACTGCACTCCAGCCTGGGTGACAGAGCGAGACTCCATCTCAAAAAAAAAAAAAAAAAAAAAAGCCAGGACTCAAACAAAAACTTGTATGTGAACACGCGTAGCAGTGCTGTTCACAATGACCAAAGCCAGGAAACACTCAAATGTCCGTCAACCATCACTGGATGAACAGACAAAGAAAAGGTGGCACATCTCAGCAGTGGAATAGCATGCAGCCATGAAAAGGAAGGACACTCTGATCCAGGCTGCAGTGTGGACGATTCTTGAGAAAATGAGGCTGAGTGAAAGAAGCCAGACACGACAGACTGTATATCACATGATTCCATTTATACAAAATGCCCAGAGTGGGCACATCATAGAGATGAGCACAGATTGTTGGTTGCCAGGGCTCGGCGGGAGGAATGGGGTTTCCCATTTCGGGTGATGGAAATGTTTTGGAAGCAGAGGTGATGGGGCTCCACCCTGTGAATGAAGGCGGGTTGCATACTTTAACATGGTGAATTTTGTGTTATGTGCATTTTTTCCCGAATAAGAACAGGACGCCGCTGTGGAGGGGAGAGACCGCTCACGGGGACTGGATGGCCAGGAAGCCACTGCTGTGTGCCAGGCCCCTTCCAGGCTTGGGGTCATGCCCCCTCATATTAGGCATGGCCACCACCACTGACTGTGGTCCTTGGAATGCGAGTAGAAGAGATGAATGTGATGGACACTTCAGGGACAAAGCTTTTAGGAACTGGTGCCCTGTTCTTCCACTCTCCCCCACCACAGGGGACCTGAGGCCTTGTGTTGAGACAGCACCGGCTGCAGGCAATGGCGGAGCCTCTGTCATTCAGGTCCCCGAGCCACCAAGGAGCAAGAGACCCATCCCCCACCACACCGACCAGCAATTCATGGCGTGAGCGAGACCCACACCTCCATCAATAAGGCCACAGAAGAATCAGGGGTGTGTGTGGCTGCAGCAAACCCAGATGGTCCTGGCCACCCACCTGCCCTGAGGGGCCAACATTTGAGCTCGGCCCTCAATGAGGTGAGCAGTGACCGGCCTAAAGGAAGAATGCTCCTGGCCAAGGGAGGAGCAGCGCGAAGGCCCCACAGCAGATGTGTGCCTGGTGTGTTCAAGGACAGTCAGGGGCCGGCAGAACCCGCAGTGGGAGGCACAGGCTATGGGGTGAAGCACTGTGCTTCCTCATCAAGGGGTGGGAGCCCCTGACGGTTTTCAGCAGGGAGGGATGCAATCAGATGTGGGCTCTAGGAGGACACTCTGCCATGTGGACACTGGGTACTTTGAGAAGCAAGTGACAGAATCCCAGGCTTCCCAGTGAGGAAATTTAGGAACTCACATAACGGGAAGTGCAGAGGGACTGTGGGCTCCAGGACAGGGTGACCACACCCAGCTGTGCCTCTCTAAGATTTTCCCCACCATCATTCTCAGGCAGGTTCCCCTCATGCTCACAAAAAGGCTGCCTGTCTATCCGGGGACAGGAGGGAGCTCAGAACCCACAATAAGCCTCTGGTCACCTGTCATTGGCCCAAAGCTGGCTAGGCTAACCCACCCTAAACCAATCACTGGCCAGGAGGAAGGGTAGCCAATCTGTGATTGGTCAGCAGTGACAATATAAAAGCCTCACAACCCAGCCATACAGAAAAGGCTTTGGGAGCTCAGACCCTCAGAAAGCCCAGCTCCAGCACTATTCAACCACTCGCCATAACTCCCCACTGCCTATAGGGCAGAGCACAAACTCCTGAGTATGGTATTCTAGGCTCTGTGTCTCTAGATGATTTCACCCTTGCAATGACCCTGAGAAGTTAATATGATTACTCCCTTGAGAGATGAGGCAACCGAGGTATGGGGAAGTTAAGTAACGTGCCCAAGGTCACTCAGCCATCAGGTGGTGGTGGCAGGACTCACACTCAGGCAGTGGCCCAGAGCCTCCTCTGCCCACACCGCCAGCATCTGACCAGCCCCCTCCATGGACGGCCATGGTATTTCAAGCCGCTGCCTGAGGTTTTCCCTGCGGGTCCTGCCGTTCACTCCATGGCAGGCACGTTTGCTCCCTGGTCTTCACAGAAAACCAATTCGGGCGTCCCCCACTCAAAAAGCCTTCCTGGGCTCACTCCACTTAGCAGCCTGAGGCCTCGCCTCAGCACTTCCCCTGTCCTGAGTGACCTCCAAGGCCTCGCCTGTGGGAACGAGAACGAGGACGAGGCTGGGAACAGGGCGACCTGAGACACTGTGTGGAAAGGACGCCCTGAAACCCCCATGGTCCCTGCCCTGTCTCCAGCCTCCCTGCCGCACCTGCAGTTTCTGCTGATGGCCCCAGTGTAAACACACCAAGGCGCGGGGAGAAGAAGTGTCAGCCCAGCCTTAAACAAACCTGCTCAGCCGGAGATGGGGAGCAGGCTCGCAGGCAGCATGGGCTCTGGCTGGAGGGATTTGGATGGGATTTAAGCAGGACTTGGTTTACAGAGGGAAAAAATAATTATCTACAAGGCCTCGGATAAAGTAAAGCCCATTTGTTCCTGAGTGAATGAAGGAACACGTGGAAACTGACGATGTCTACCTGGGACTGGGCTCAGACAGTTACTCAATGTGAGCCCAACTGGAGGCTGGCCGTGGGAAACAAGTGGGCTGACCCCCTGTATCCACTCGAACCGGCATCTCAGTGTGTGCGCAAGAGCCAAAGGCCGGCTCAGGCACAGCCACCCTGGCAGCACATCAGAATCATGGCAGAGTCCTTAAAATGCTGTGACCGGCCGGGCACGGTGGCTCACGCCTGTAATCCCAGCACTTTGGGAGGCCGAGGCAGGCAGATCATGAGGTCAGGAGTTCGAGACCAGCCTGGCAAACATGGTGAAACCCTATCTCTACTAAAAATACAAAAATTAGCCAGGCATAGTAGCGGGCACCTGTAATTCCAGCTACTCAGGAGGCTGAGGCAGGAGAATTGCTTGAACCCTGGAGGCGGAGGTTGCAGTGAGCCAAGATCACGCCACTGCACTCCAGCCTGGGAGACAGAATGAGACTCTGTCTCGGAAAAAAAAAAAAAAAAAAGTGCTGATGACCAGGTCTCTGCCCAGACCATTAAAGTCAGCCTCCCTGGGCCAGGCCCGGATGTCTGTGTTTGATGGGAACTCCCGGTGATTCTGATGCACAGGCAGCCATGGGCACACACGGGCTCACTTGACCCCACACAGCCACGGACCAGACCCAAACCACAACTGTTGCCTCATTTACTCCTCACACGGCCCCAAACATTGCTGTCCTCACTATGCAGATGGGGAAACTGAGGCACAGGGAGGCTAAGTAACTGCTTCTGGTGGGAGGCGGTGGGGCCCGGGTTGAGATCCAAATTTGCCATCCCAAAATGTCCCCATCACCCCGTTGATGAGTCATTTTTTGTTGCCTCCTCCCTCAGATCAGGGTCCCCAGGGCAGATACTGTCCTCATCAGACCTGCAGTCCTCAAGGCTGTGTCCTGCCTCCTGACTTGCTCCACAGGCGCCTGTGGGGAAGGGGCTGTGTGCTGGCATGGGTGGTCCTGGGTCTGAGTCCGGACTCTGCCCCCTGCCAGCTAGGTGGTCGGGGGTCCGCATCCCACGCCTCTGAGCTACAACCCCTGGGCCCCTTGGTAAGGGCTGGGTCCTGGCAGGCTTCAGGGTGGGGCGGGGGCTGGTTCCTGGGTCTGGGACTCTGGGGGAGGCAGCTCTGGTGGGCAGGGAGGTGTTTCACCCCTGCCCTGCCCCTGCCCAGGTGGAGGACATGACACATTAAGTATTCCCCCGGACGGTGGACAGTGCTGGGAGGCTTCCCTCACCCTGCCTGGCAGTCCCAACCAGATGGACCCAAATGCAGAGTGAGGAAGTGCAGAGCCCATGGCCCAGCTCCCAGCAGGAAGAACACTGAGCCAGGGGCAGCCTGGCCCTGAACACTTGTGGGACTTTGGCAATTACTATGCCTCTGGGCTTCAGGTTCTTCATGGATAAATTAAGGAGTCTGGACCCAATCCAGTCGGGGCCATGTTGCCTGCTCTGCTGGTCCACTGGGCCGGTTGCCCAGAGGGCCGGGGAGGGGGTGTCCATCCAGGCTCCTGGGGAGCAAGAGCCTCATTGATTGGTGACGCCTGCCCAGGACCAGCCAGGGATGAGGCAGGCGTGCGCCAGGGCTTCTCTCCTCCTGTCACCCTGCACCCACAACCTGGGAAGGGAAGTTGGCATTAAGCTACACATTTCTGCCTCTACTGATGTACAGGCCTGATGGTGATATGCAAGTGACTGAACAATTAGAGAGCAGAGGGGTTTCTGTATTAAAATTTTTAAATAAATTAATAATAAATACAAATCAGTGGAAAGAAGAAATTAACAGTCACCTGCTTTCTCCCGCCCAGAACTAATCCTTGCTAATGTCCTGCGAGGGTTGCTTCCAGTCACTCCAGGCAACTTTTTGCTGTTCTTTAAGGAAGAAAAGGACGTATGTTTATAGAACGGCACGAGCTCACCGTAAAGATGTCAAACACGGCCAGGATGTACAAAGGTGAAGGATGAAAGCCACCGGGACGCTGCTGCCTGGAACTAACCCCACACGGTGGTGGCCGGCCCCCCGGCAGCCTTCTCTGCCAGGGTCCTGGAGAAGGACAGATAGACACATGGTCAGCTGGACAAGTGAGGCGGATCTTCCACAATCCATTTCTCTTTGGATGTTGATGGGGCTCATCTGAGGCCCATCCCAGTCTCTCTGACAGAAATCTGCCCCTGAAGGAGGGTCTGGGGCATGGGGGCAGAGAAGCCCTTCCCAACAGCTGACCTGGCTCTAACTCTCCAACTCTCAGCGTGGCTTTGGGGGCTGCCTGCCCCATCTGCACTGAACGGGGCCGGACCACACCGTGGTTCTAACCCACGTGGGTTTTCAGACCCTTCACAGTCCCAATGGACCCTCATGGCACACACATGGGCAGTTGCACACACACAAAGTCTAGGGGTTCGTGAAGCCATTGGAGCTGCCCAGGACCCCAGATCCAAAACTCTGAATCAAAGGATGTTGCCCCCCCACCCACCCCAGCTAAAGGGACGAAAGATTCTAAGAGCTTCCTCTTGGAGAATATTTTCAAATGACCTGACTGTCCACCTGTCCCACACACAGGTGTCTGGTAGAAACAGAGGCTGGACTGGTGGCCAGGACCCCAGGGTCTTTGCTGGGTCTGAGAGGGCCACACCCCCTTCCCTACCCATGACCATGCCCAGTCTGCCCACTCCCCAGACACCCACAGGCGGGACACAGCAACCATCTGCTTCTAGACACGATCCCTCAGTAGCCCATCCCCAGCTGTCCTGCCCCTGCCCGCAGTGATAGGAGGCCCCACCCAGAACTGGCCTTTAGCCGTGACTCCCGCCTGAGACCTGCTGCCCCTCCCACCACCCACCAGTGGGGTCTCTCCTCCCTCCCCTCCAGGAAGCCCCACCTGCTCCTCCACCGACCGCCAACCTTAATCCCACCTGCCACACCAAGCAGGGCCTTTGGAGACGGGGCTCCCCCAGGTCTGGCTGGGGTCTGCAGAGTTTCTCACTTGCAGCCCTTGCACCCCATGGCCGGCCCTTGTGAGGAACAGCACAAGGTGGCTCCGTGCCCTGCTGCGGGGCCACTGTCATGAAGATACTGCCGTCACCACCATCGCTATCATGACGGCCAATTGTCCCTTTGTGTTTGTGGATCTGCTACCTAGTTTCCTGCCAGGCTCAAGGCTCTCACGCCCCCCACAGAGAAGGGCCTGAGTCGCAGGGTCAGGGAAGGCGCCCAGTCTGGGCACAAGGCTCATTTCCTGAGAGCAGGGTGGGGGGCGGGGGGAGTGGGGACTGGAGCCCAGAGTCCAGCTCATCAGAGGGAACACAGGGCCCAAAATCCAGACGTTCACCATGACCCTCTTCAAAAGCAGAGGCCCGAGCAGGATGGGAACCGGGGAGCTGGCCATCCAAAAGCACCCCGGCCATGGGCAGCCACCCTGCAGCCTGAGAACGTGCTTGCCCTACCCAGCCTCCCTCACCTCTTCCCTGAGCTTCAGCCGCTCCCAGGAATGTGCCTGCCCTACCCAGGCTCCCTCACCTCTTCCTGAGCTTCGGCGGCTCCCAGCCGCCCCCACCAGCTAAGCACCTTCCGGGCCTGCTCTCTGTCCTTCTGACACGCCTCATAAGCAGGAAGTGGCCTGGGGCCCTGCACGGGCAGGCCTGCTGGATCCCAGACCCCAGCAGCTCTACTGTGAGAAAGATGTGGGGAGAGCCTGGGAGGGGATGTGGGGAGCGCCTGGGAGGGGACTTTGAGCACCTCCCTATTCCTCACTGGAAAGAGGACCGCCAACCCCACCCCGGGACAAGGCGCAGAGGTCATGAGAAATGCCCTACGTAGGGCCACCTGGTCTATGAGAGGCCTTCTTAAGGGGGCCAGAGTAGATGGGGGGTAACCTGCATCGGGTTGAGTACCCTGACTGCTGACTCCAGCCAGAGGATGAGCCCTGATCTCGCTCGCACACTGAGCCCTGATCCCGCTTATGCACTGAGCCCTGATCCCGCTCACACACTGAGCCCTGATCCTGGCCACACACTGGTCCCCTACCCTGGTCACACACTGATCCTTGGTTCTAGTCACAGCCTGAGCCCTGATCCTGGTCACACAGTGAACTCTGACCCTGGTCACAGGCTGAGCCCTGACCCAGGCCTCACACTTGACCCCCCATATGGCCCCACGAGTTGGTCAGGACAGAGTCCAATGCTCTTGACTCCAAGTGAGCCAGCTGAGGCTCTGAGCCACGAAACCCTGGCCTTGGTCAGGGGCCATGCTGGGACCTGAGCCCGGGGCTTAGACTTTGAGCCTAGTTCTCACTCCCACCTCCAAAGCACCTGAGGACCTGGCCTCAGCTGGTACCCTGGAGGAGCAGTGACAGAGTTGGAGGAGGTAGCCCCTCCTGGATCAGCACCCATGGGGCTGGAGGCAGAGAGGGTCTGTGCCCCAGACAGTGAACAACAGCCGGTAGGGGTTCAGAACTAGGCAGAGCCAGGGCTGCCAGTGGGGGCTGAGCTCCCCTGGGAGGCCTCCAGGAAGACCGCTCAGGACAGAACAGGCCGATTTTAGGGGGTAGCAGAGACAGGGAAGGTACTTCCTTAGTGAGAGACTCCATAGCTCTTGGGACAACCTCAAACTGGGCCCCACCAGCAAGGGCTGGAATTCCGATCCCAAGGAGTCCTCGTCTCAGCCCCCAGGGCAGGTCCCGGCCACCCGCTGGTCCCTTCTCCAAGTCTCAGGTTTCTCGTCTGTAAAATGCAGGAGACAATCAGGTTCACAGTGGCTTGTAGAAACTTTTGAGGCTGTGTGCATTTCAGGGTCTGGCTCAGATTTTAGAAAGACAGTGAGATGCACCTAGCGGAGGTCACATACACCCCATGGGGTCTGGGAAGCACCTCCACCACACACACTGATACTTCTGCCACGAGCCTTATTGGTATGCCCACCGGGAGGGATAAATGGATGCTGAATACCCTCGGGTTGGGTCCAGTCAGTTTACGCGGCTGAGTGAGCTTGTGTCAAACCTACCTAAATGCTTCCCTGTCTCAGAGAAGTTTGGATTTCGGGGTCCTGGGCTGGGGCCTCAGCAGAGGCACGTGAGATCTGGTCTGCAGCCCCCGCCAGGGCCCCGCCTACCCTGTTGGGACCGCCCATTGGCGGGTGCCATCCACTCCCCTTTGCTCGGTTCCCAGCGCCCTCCCCCGCTTGCCAACCGGGAGAGTTGGCACCAGCCTTCCGGAACGTAACCTACCCCGCCAACAACAGCTTCCCTCCTCCCATTCCCGCGCACTCCTCCAGGGCGGCAGGCAGTCGGCAGAGGCAGCAGGCCTCTATAAATAGTGGCCCTGACTCCTCCACCGCCTCGCTGGGGTTGTACCCCCACTGCCCAGATGGACAGACCCAGGTCGGGAAGGAGACAGGCTGGGACTTGCCCAGGGCTCCCCTGGGAGGTAGGGGTCAGCCCTGGTGAGTAGGGGAGGAACCCACTGCAGGAGGGTCTCCGCACAGGGAAATGTGAGGCTCACAGCCATGGGAGCCAGTCCGAGGCCCTGGGCTCACCTGAATGGTTCAAATCCTGGCTCCACCTCTCAGTAGCTGGGTGGTTCCTCAGAGCTTAGTTTCCTTGCTTATGACAGTGGAGGTAACATCAGCGGTCCATCCCACTGCCGCCATCCCCCAGGACCACTGCATCCCTTTCACTTACTAAGAGATGGTCTCCTGGCCCCTAGGAGGAGAGGGCAGGGTGAGCAGGTCCAGCTCTTAGGAGCCAGAATGAGATGAAGCTGCTGCAGGAAGGACTAAGGTTAGAAACGGGAAAGAACTTCCTGTTCGTAAGAGCAGTGTGTGCCACCCCGGAAGGCTCTGTGGGAAAGTTTATACAGGCAGAAAAGGGGCCCAAGTGCCTGCAATGGGGCCATGGCAGCCTGGAGCCCTGCCCTTCCCACCCATTTTTAAAATGAGTAGGCATTTGCATTTATTGAGCTTCTACTATATACCTCCCCACATGCTCAGCAACAGAAAGGAGGAAGAAACCAGCGAAACGTTGGCCGTGTCTCAGAGGAGTCAAACATTTGGCTGGAGACAAACTTGGCCCAGGAAAATCCCAGCAATTGATCCAGGCCCAGACTGCCCTCAGAATTCAGGGCTAAGACAAACCAGTCAGGGCAGGCTTCCTGGAAGAGGTGGCCTTGTGGCTAGAGGCTGGTTTGGATCCGTGGGAAAGGCCTTCTAGGTGGAGAGAACAGTGGGGCAGAGTTGTGCAGGTGGGAAGGCTCTCAGGCTTCTGCAGAGACAGTGAGGAGAGACCTTGGGGTCACATTCTCGGTCCTGAGCTTGTGACCAGTGCTTGGGAGGGCTTGTCCCAGAAACCCTGAACCCAAGCAACTTCCTAAAAGTTGTTCTCAGAGCCAGAGAGTTCAGAGCCTGGGTCTCCACGTCCTGCTCCTTAGAGGTCACCAGTTTCCCTGCCCACCGGTGCCAGATGTCCAGCCAGTAGCTTTTAGCCTGTGCTGGCCTAGGCCATTTTGGCCACTCACAGTGACCAAAGCTCATTGCTATGAGGGAAGGTGGAGGGGTTGGGCAGAGAACAGCAGCTGCCACTGCAGCGTCCCCACACGGACACTACCCCTGGACATCCATGCTCCCTGCTCCTGGGCCAACGAGGAAGCCAAGGTCAGGAGAACCCGGGTACCCGGGGCCGCTCCTCTGAGGCCTGCCGAGCAGACAGACACAGACAGACACAGCTATTCCTGTCCCAAGGGGCCATCGGGGGCTGGGAAGTGCTGAAATAGAAAGCAGGTCCCGAGCCCTGCTGGGGACGTGGCCTGTTCTTGACCTGGGTGGACTGGGCCAACTCTAGAGGGAGTTGCAGCTCAGCCCAGCCTGGCCAGTTTGTGGTGGCTGGCCTGGGCCACCCCGGGCAGGCGCCTGGGCCCAGGAGGGATCTTAGACCTCACACTCTCTCCCCTGGGGTTCCCGGGCTGTGGGGTCCTTGTCACAGTTCCCCAGGTGATGGGTTCCTGGAGCTTCCAGAGAGAAAGCTCTGGCAATTTGGGGGCTTTGTAAGGGCTGAGAGACTCCAGGCCTGGTCCCAGCTCCACCCTCCTAGCTGCATGACCTTGGGCAAGTGACTTTGCCTCTCTGAGCCTCCCTTTCCTCTTCTGAAGATGGGAACAGGATGCCCCATTATAAGATTATTTGGGGGAATTAATAGACCTGAAGTGCTTCCCCTGTGCCTGGCCCGCCAGAAGCTCTCAGTGAGCGGCAGCTGTTATAGACTTGTCTCGGTGAGCGCTGCATGTTGAGTGACTGACCTGCTAGACCAGGGGTTTCAACCCTTGGATCACATCCCAGGAGGGCTCCACGCAGCAGTGCCTCATACTCTGCCCTGTTTTGTGTTCCAGTGCCTGGGATAAGAGGTGCCAAGCAGGGCCCGCATGGCCACCACCCCCGGCCACCAAGCCTGCTGGACCTGTGCTTGCTCTGGCACCTGTGCTGATCCCACTAGAGCCCCTCCCTGGCTGGGCCAAGTGTCAGAGGAGGCTGTGGAGAGAGGGAGCAGGGCCAGGCCCCTGAGAGGGTCCCGGGGCTTCCCCTCTCCCTCTCCCTGGGGAGTCTATTGCCACAGCAGCCCCAACGTGGGTCAGACCCCAAAGGCTCGGCCGCCTCCTCAAACCCCAAGTGGAAGGTCCCGGGGTGGTGGGAGCCCAGTGGCCTGGCCTCTGAGCTCCCAGGTTCCTGCCTGACTCTTCAGGGGCCCAGCTGTGTGAGCCCGAGGGAGGGAAGGGACTTAGTCCCCTTGCTCTCTGTGAGGACCCTCACCAGGAGGTGGGCGGGATGAGAAGTGCTGGTCCAGGCACAGGCCAGGTGGAACGGGACACACGGGAAGCCCCCCACGGTGGCAATCCTCTTCCTGCTGTCTCTGCCCTGGGGGAACCCACCACTCACCCAGCACCTCCTGGGCTGGCCCTGGGTGGGCCTGGAGACCCAGATGGTGGGAACTGCACCCCTGCCCAGCTGCCAGCTGTAACCTGGCTGGCCACAAGAAGGCCAGGGCGTGAAGGGGCACCCCTGCCCAGGTGGCAGGAAGGCTGGCATGGAGCTGAGCTGCCTCGGAGCTTCGATAGCTGAAGCCCCTCTCCGGCCTTCATCTCCACATGTATAAAAGGTGGGGCCAACTTGGCGGGTTCCAAGGTCCTCTGGTCCCAGTGTTCCCCCTGAGGCCCTGCTGCCCCATTCTGTAAGCTAAGACTCAGCTAGCCCCACACGCATTCCACACTCCACACTCAGACCTCACCCCAGGCTCCTGGACCCATGGCAAGGCCAGGCAGAGCCAGTGTGAATCCTGGGAGAGCCTGCAAGGCTGGTCACCAGACCTCCTCCACCAGCAATCCCTCCCGGATTGGGTCTTAGGAGCCTGGGGCTTTCCCTCTGCTTTCTCACCAATAAGCCCCGCGCTGCTGTCCCCCGCCATTCCCTGCGGGGACCCTCCCTGGGCTCCATGGGGCTCAAGGCTGCAGCTTCTTCCGTGTGGGCCCCTTCAGCAGTACCAGCCCACACTGAGTCTCACCACCTTGTGCCAGCTGTGGCCAGGGCCACAGCCCTGCCAGACCCCATGATGAGGCAGTGTTCTGTGGGTGCCCCTTCCCACAGTCCATGAGACTGGGTTTAACAGAAGGGTACTGGGGGGCTGCAAGCCAGGCATGGTTCCAGCCAGGGTCTGCATGCCCCATTTGCTGTGTGACTTTGGACAGGCCTTCCTCCCTTTCTGGGCCTCAGTTTCCCTGTGTGTAAGAGCAGATGTTGAGACAAGATGCCCTGGGGGGAACCCTCAGTGTTGAGCAGGCATAAGGGGGTGCCTTGGGGCACCGAGGGGGCCAGCCCAGAGGGTAGCAGTCCCAGCAGCCACCCTAGGATGACTCCCTAGAGCCCCAGAGCCGCGCGCTAACTGTGCACCAGGCACAGCACCAGGTACCCTGGACGTCCCCAGTTGTGGCTGAGTTCCAGGCATTCAGCCAAGACTGGCCTGGATGATCCCGGACTCTGGGTACTTCCCCACCCACCTCTCAAAGGCTCTGCCCTGCAGGGTCTCATAGCCTGCCCTGGTTCTTCTAGCCTCCACCCCTGGAGCCCCGACATGCTCTGCTACCGTGGGGTCCGCGTCTTCCCCTCAGATAGGAGGAGGCCGCAGACTGGGCCCAGGCTGCCCCTCACTGCTGTGGGCCTTGGGGCTGGTCCTGTCCCTGTACCCCCAGCCCAGTTTCCTTGGTTCCCACTGTGGGGCTGAGCCTCCCTGTGGAGCTGTGATGTGGCCGGCAGGACCCAGCGCTTCCTGAGAGGAGGGACGCCCCTTCCCAGCCGTGAGCACAGGCCACAGGGCCAAGGCTGAGGATCAGAGCAGACAAGGGAGGCGCCAGGCTGGGCTTGAACCCAGGGCTGCACAAGGGGCCCCCACATTCCCTGGACATGCAGGCTCACCTCTCCCTGGGGCAGAGAAAGGCTCCTGCCCACCCCAGCTCAATGGCAGGTGCCTGCCCGCTACCCAGCAAGTCCAGAGTGCAGGAGAGGGCCTGTGGGCACTGGACCCCCCAGGAAGGAGCCTGCAGGTCTCCCGATCACCCCTCATCTGGAAGCTCTGCACTCCCCCTCTGCCCCTCCTCCATAGCTCTGGCCTCTCGAGTAGGTGGGAGTCCTGCAGAGCTGGCTGGCATCACCCCACCTTCGCAGGCCCCCTTGGGAGGACCTCACCCCTGGACACATGGCAGAAAACGGCTGCCAGCCTCCCGGGGCTGTTTACATCCTCGAGTGGCACCAAGACGAGGGTCTCTCAGGAGGACAGACGAGGTCTGCGGTGTCAGGCACCAGCAGGGGTGGCAGAACCCGCCTGTCACCACCATCTGCTGTTCCCCATTATCCTGAGCCCTCTCCACCCCGGGGACTGCTCAGTGGCCCGTTGTTGGCTTCATCCCTCAGGATGGGGACCCTACAGTGCCAGCACTGCCCATGATGGGCGGGGCTTGTCAGTCTTGATTGCAGCGTTATGGGATTCCCAACTGCAGCTGCCACAGCGAGAGGGCCTTGGCGTCACAGGCCAAGGGTGGAGGACAGGAGCCATGGGTCCACCTGGCTCCCATGGAGGTTCACAAGGGGCCACTTCTGCCTCCTGCCCAGGGTGGCCTGGTAGCCCTGCTGGCGGCTCATGTGGAGATATCATTGTGGCGCTTCCCTGCACCCTGTCCCTTGGGGAAGGAGGAATGGTAGGCTGCTGATGCCTCACCGCTGGCAGGGCCTCCAAGGATGCTTCCATGGGCTTGAGAGGGCTCTCCACCAGGCCCAGTTCCCTACAGTGTCTGCCCAAGGGGCCCCTCCCACCCTGCAAAGTGTGCCAGAGCCCAGGATGAGCAGTCCTGCCCTGCGAAGGGCCAGTCAGACACACCTGAAGGGGTCCTGACCCTGGGCACAGCCACTCTCTGACCTCTGACCCCTGACCCCAGTCACAGACAGCCTGGCCTGACCTGCCAGCCTGATAAAGATGACAAGGAGGAAATTGTCCCTGTGCCCTGTCTCCTCTGAGGGTTGTGGAGTGTTGGCCCTGAGCTCGGGACCCCCATCCCTGGTGTCCCCCCAAGAGGATCCCTGGGTCCTGCTGAGAAGAGTCTCCCTGGGGGAGGAGTCAGGGAGGCTGGCGTGGGCTGTGACCCCTCCCCAGGCAGTTCCCCGCTGTTTGCTGGGGGACCGTCTCTGAGATTTCTCTGAGAACAAGCCTGAGAGTGCAAGGCTGGAGCCCCAGGCCCTCAGAGGTGGGCATGAGGCCTGGCACTGGTGCGGTGACTCAGCCACCCTCGCCTGCTCAGGAAATCTGAGCCTCCTCTGGCTCCAGCCCTGCCCAATCTGGGCTGCCTCCAGGCCACCCCCACACAAAAATGACATTGCATCCACCCCCACCTTCCACAAGCCCGGTGAAACCCTGCCTGCCAGGAGCCAGTCCTGGTCCAGAGAGGTGCAAGAGGCTGGTGGCCAGAGACTCCTGTGCCTCTCTGGGCCTCAGTTTCCCCAGCTAAAACAGACACAACGATGTTCTAAAGGAGATAATTGCAGCCTGTGGGCTCAGCCCTGCAGCCGCAGGGAGGCTGCTCCAGAGTGAAGAAACCATCCTCTCCCAGAACTTTCAATGGCTCCCTGTTGCAGCACTCTGGTACCCATAGAGGCTGCTGAGACTCAGTGTAGAAGTCCCCTGCCCACTCCCAGCTTTGCTCCCCAGGAAATATTCTGATGGCCTCCTGTCCCTCTGCCCATCTGGGCTGCCTGCCTCCTGTTATACCTCCCTCTGCCCCTTCCAGGAAGCCTTCCCAGACGGCATCCCTCCCCAGCAGGCTGGGTCAGGACCCTAGGGCCCACCTACTCTCTCCTGTTGGTCTGCATTACAACCAGCCTGAGCTCGGGAAGGCCCAGCCCCTCCCTTGGGGAGCCTTCCCTGAGTCTCCGGTGTGCAGTACAACCCACTCAGCAGGGCCTCGGCACTCAGGCGGCTGGAAGGTTAAAGTGTGAGTATCAGCAGAAGCACACGGGATGGGAACAAGAGGAGATGGTGCTCTCGGCAGAGGAGACACTAACTAAATGGCCCCAACCGCTCCCCGACAACCCCCGCTGCCACCCCAGGCTGGCCACAAGGCCTCCTGGCTCTGAAGCTGTCTGGGGAGAGTGGCCCTCCAGCAGCCCTCTGGGATCAAGCCTGTTGATGAGCTCACGCTTCCTCCAGCACTGAGGTCCGGGTCCCACACGCTCTCCCCACCTGCTGGCCTGGGTCACGTCCAGGTCTTTCCCACACACCTGACCCCACATGCCACATGCCACCGGTGCATGGGTGCAAACAGAGGCCCAGATGCCAGGTGTGCAGGCTGTCGGTCATGGGTACACACAGACACAGCCAAACCCAGGACACATGCAAAACAGAGAGCCATGCAGGAACCCAGGCTTGCGTGGGCTGAAGCTACCATGCACATGCCCCCTCCCGGGAAGGAAATTGGGCTTTCGTGTGCTCCCACCTCCTGTCCCGCACACAGCACGCACAAGTGCCAGCCACCATCTCCTGGATGGTGCAGCTGAGACTCAGCCCCTCCGTGCCTCAGTTTCCCCCTCCTGCCCCCCACACAGCACACACAAGTGCCAGCCACCGTCTCCTGGATGGTGCAGCTGAGACTCAGCCCCTCTGTGCCTCAGTTTTCCCCTCCTGCCCCGCACACAGCACGCACAAGTGCCAGCCACCATCTCCTGGATGGTGCAGCTGAGACTCAGCCCCTCCGTGCCTCAGTTTCCCCCTCCTGCCCCGCACACAGCACACACAAGTGCCAGCCACTGTCTCCTGGATGGTGCAGCTGAGGCTTAGCCCCTCCGTGCCTCAGTTTCCCACCTCCTGCCCTGCACACGGCACACACAAGTGCCAGCCACCACCTCCTGGATGGTGCAGCTGAGGCTCAGCTCCTCGGTGCCTCAGTTTCCCCCTCTGTCTCCAGTGGGTGTGGGGACTCTGGTGCCCCAGGCCCCTCTGTGCCTCGGTTTCTTCTTCTGTCTCCAGTGGGTGTGGGGACTCTGGTGCCCCAGGCACCGTCCCTCAGGCTCTGAGCCTTGACTCCTCCTGGGGGCGGGGAAGGAGCCTGCCCCGCCCCCACCCTGCCTTTGCCCAAAAGGAGCCCCAAGCGCTGGCCTGACGTCAGGCCGTAGGAAGGCGAGGTCCGGGCTGCATGCAGAGCTGAGAGCTGAGGACTCCCATCTCCAGCCTGCCCGGGTGAAGCGCGGTAAGTTCCCCTGTGGGCTGGCCCCAGCCTCCCTCTCCCCAGCTTCCCTAGATAGGAGGCTCCTGAGCTGCTCCCTGCAGGGGTTCTCACCCCCAGCCAAGCAGGAGTGGGAAGGGCAGGGCAGAGAAACTGCCTCCAGATCCGGGCTGGGGAGAGCTCAGAGCAGGTCCTGCTGGACAGGGAGCCATTTCTCAGATGAGAAAACAGAGACCTGAGGGAGAACATGGGCGTGAGTTGGGCTGGCTGCATAAGGGGGAGCTGCGCTGCTAGGTGCCCACCCAACTCTGGATTTCATTCATTCACTCATTCATCCCTCCGTTCAACACTCACCGAGCATCTGCTGGGTGCCCAGAGCTGGGTCTTGGTTTCCCCACCTGGCAAGGCAGCAGGGTGGCCCACAGGCCAAGCCAGGGACAGAGTTGGGGGACCCCAGAGGCACTTGGCAGGCTCTGGGGCCTCAGCCACCACCACCCCGCAGCTGGGGCAGGGCCATGGTGAGGGCTTTGTGGGCATGGGCTCCAAGCGCCATGCTCCCTCTTCAGAGTGCCCGTCCTGCCATCCCACAGCTCAGGCCCTCTGCAGTAGCCTTGGTGCTGTCTCTACCCCTTAGGGGTGGGGAAACTGAGTCCCAGGGAAGGCTTGCTTGCCAGCCCTCAGTGTGGACCTAGAAGCTGGCTCCAGCCCCGCGAAGCTCGCACTGGGACTGCGCTGTGAGAAGGCGGCAGGACAGGGTCCCGAGGGGGCAGCGGGCTGGGAACTGGCCAGCAGCCAGGGTGCTGGCGGGGCAGACGTGGAGCAGCTGGCGACCTCGCAGGACGGGGAATGCACCCCGCAGGAGGCTGGGCCTGTCCACTTGCCCTGTCTTCTTCCTTCAACAGCTGGTCATCCTGGGTCTTCCCTCCCCTCTCCCCCCAGGACTCATCCAGTCGCTGGGCTCCAGGGCGGTCTGCTGAGTGGCCGTGGCAAGTCGCTGCCCCTCTCTGAGCCACACGGTGTGGGCCCATCAGCAAAGGCGGGGTCTGCGGCTGGAGAGCCGGGCGTGGGGGCCATGCAGTTTGGACCATTTCTGAGCAGCTCCTGGAGCCCACGGGGTGGCTTCATTGTCTTCTTGTTAAGTGGTATTAGCATCTCCTCTTTATAGATGAGGAAACTGAGGCTCAAGGAGATCAGAGGGGTATTCTAAAATCATCCACTCCATCACTCAGCAGTGACTCAGTGACTCAGAGGGGCCAGCCAAGGCCAGGGCCCCTGAGGCACTCCAGTTCAGTGAGGGAAGCACAGCGAACAGGAAAGCAGGGACATAGGGAACTGCGCGTGGCAGGGCACTGCGAAGGAAGCCAGGCGGTGCAGGCGTGCGGGGCTGTGGGCTCTGGAGGGCCTCCCTGAGGAGGGGCGTCAGGGCCCAAAGAACCTTAAGTTGATCCCCTCACCATACGTCCCAAAGCCCTCCCCACGCCCCCGGTGTCTCACAGAGCCCTGAACACAGACTCTCCTTCCCACCTCTGGCCCTTCATGCTCACTGTGCCCTTCCTGCTGCCGGGAGCGCTCTTCCCTCTGATTGTCCTGAGGCCCATCCCGGCCGTGACCAGCCACCTCCCACCCTACCCTGAGCTGTCAGCTCGGAAAGGTGGGGCCAGGTCTGCCTGGGACCCATTTGTGCCCGCAGTGCTGGGGTCTAAGTCCTGGTCTGACACCTCCAAACTGCACGGGGCTGTGTGGCCTGGGGCCTCTGATTCCCTCCACACACAGGGCTGGGTGCCGCAGAAGGCTGATCCCAGGCACTGGGACAAAGTGCCAGCAGGCAGATTGAGGCAGAGCTCAGCCCCTCCTGCACCCCAGCTGGGTGAGCCCGGACACATGACTTAGCCCCTCTGTATTGGTTCCCCACAGGCACAGTGGGGCCAGAAACACCCACCCAGGGGCATCTTGAGGGAAGTCAATAAGACCCTGGGAAGGATGAGCCCAGCGGGTGCCCTTCAGATTGTGGGATCATAGCTCTCCCCCTGGGGCAGGGGCATCCAGGGCACTAGGGCATCAGAGGGGCTCAGGGAGAGCTCTGTGGAACAATGACTGTGGGTGCCCGGAGCCTTCACCAGGTGGCACAGGGAGAGAAACAGCATTCCGGGCAGAAGGAACAGCACATGCAGAGGGAAGAGGCTGAGAGGACCAGGCTGAGGAGCTTCAGGCGGAAGGACCAGGCTGAGGCCAGGCAGGTGCACATGACAGAATGCCTGTCCCAGCAGCTCCTGGAGAGGCTGAGGTTGGGGAGGGGTTTCAGGAGCTGCTGCAGCTACGGCTATCCCAGCTAGAGGTGAGCAATGAACTCGGTGATGGGGAGGAAAGGAGGGGCTGGTGGGTGACACGCAGGACCTCCAACTGGCCATGCCCCTCCCAGAGACACCCAGCTAGAGGTGAGCAATGAACCCAATGATGGGGAGGCAGGGAGGGGCTGGCAGGTGACATGCAGGACCTCCAACTGGCTATGCCCCTCCCAGAGACACTGGTGTTTCCGTTAGAGCCGCAGTCTCAGCAAGAGGGCTCTTAGCTGGTGGAACTGAGGCAGAGTCGGGTCAGATGGGGCCCAGGTGTCCTTCCCCACAGAGCTCAGTCTGTGCCCACCAGTGACGTCTCTCTCTGCACTGGGGTGGAGGGAGCCCTGGCCTGTGGGCGTGGGGGACAGGGAGAAAGACTTGGCTTCTGGCCAGGGTCACCTGGGACTTGCTAGGTGACCTGGGGTGAGTCTGACCCCATTTGGAGAGCTCAGCAAGCACCCACCTGCCTCTTGGTGGAAGAAACGGAGGCTCAGACTTATCAAAAACAGCAGATGATATTCAAAAGCAGATGCTGTGAAACCAAGAATAATCATAAAAATAAACAGGCAGACAGTTCCCCGAATCATGGCTATTTTAGCCCTGGAAGGCCATGAGGGCCACGCCGTCTGGGGTGCAGGCTCAAGCACACACAGACCCGTGGTCACACATGCGGCCTCAGGGCCCGGAGAATCCCCTTGTGCACAAACTCCCGGTCCAGAGATGCCTAATCCAGCCCCTCTGCTCCCCAGCCCGCACTCTGCTCCACTCCGGCCTGTGCCGGGTCCTGCCAGTGGACCTGGGTCTGATTCCCAGCCCCACCAGCTCCATGCTGGGTAACCGTGAGGACACCACTCACCCCTCTGGGCCTCCGGTTCCTCATCTGTAAAACCTGGGATTGCTGTGTGGATGCAAAGCGCCCTTAGCAGGTGCTCAGAGCCCCTCTGTGGGGAAAAGGCTGGGCCCGTCCTCCACACGTCCACAGACAGCACACAGGGTCCTGAGCCAGACCCCCAGGCAGGCTCAACAGCCACCCTGGGCCATCTGCTGCCCTGGGGCCGGGGCCACTCTGCTGCCTGGTCTCACATGTGGCAGGACAGAGGCAGACAGGCTGCTGGGCAGCCAAGAGAGAACTCCCAGGTTGGTGGGGTGGGTTTGAGAGGAGCCCAGGGAAGAGAGGACATAGCCCTCCCCACCCACCGGCCAAGGACGGAGGCCGGCATGACCCTGGTGCCCCGCTGGAGGCCTCTGGGCAGGTGCCAGCACCCCAAGCCCAGGGGTCTGGCCTTCCATGGCCGGGTGCCCAGCAGAAATTCAACAAGCTGTGGGTGAGGGCAGGGAGGCAGCAGCCCCCATCAGTGCTCTGGGCATGGACTAGTGGTGTGGCCATTGGGATGGATGGAGCAGGAACCCCCAGGGAGGGGACAGGGTCAAATAGCTTCCATGCTCGATGCTCGCTCCCACCCCTTGGAAGTTCCCAGGACCGTGAGTTTCACAAAGGCTCTGAGAAGTCCTGCACTGAGCACACGTGTTGGCCCTGGCCTCTCCCCACGTGTGAGCGGGCTGGTCCACACAGGGCCCCATCCAGGTGCCAAAACCAGGAGCCTCCCGTGCTCTTATATCGCACGCCTCCCATGTTGGGGGTGTCTGCAGTATTTCTCACTTAGTCCAGCCACCCTGCCTGATTTCATTCATTCATTCAACAAATATGGTTCCCAAAGTCCCAGGTGAGGGAACTGAGGCTCCCAGTGATGAAATGATTTGCCCGAGGCCTCGAAGGTGGCGGGTGGTAGAGCTGGCCTGCAAACCAAAGACCATTGCTATCAAGAGTGGTGATGGGGCCGGGCGCAGTAGCTCACGCCTGTAATCCCAGTAGTTTGGGAGGCCAAGGTGGGCAAACCACTTGAGGCCAGGAGTTTGAGACTACCTTGGCCAACATGGTGAAACCCCATCTGTACCAAAAATACAAAAATTACCCAGGTGTGGCACGGGCACCTGTAATCCCAGCTACTCCAGAGGCTGAGGCATGAGACTCACTTGAACCCAGGAAGTGGAGGTTGCAGTGAGCCGACATTTCGCCACAGCACTCCGTCTCAAAAAAAAAAAAGAAAGAAAGAAAGAGTGGTGATGGGAGATAGAGGGTGGGAAGGAATGTAAGTGTGGACACAATGGTCAGAGTGATTAGGACGGGCTTCCGGGAGGAGGTGTCAGCCTTGCTCGGCTGGGAGGACTCATGGGTAGTGACGATGGGGCTGGGGGTGGAAGCCAATTCCAGACCAGTACCAAGACACTGGGTAGGCAGGTTTCAGAGGGGGCCAGGCCAGGTGGCATTCACCCTGAATGCCAGGTTGAGAAACCAGGCCACACCTTGCCAGCCCTGATGAGGCTTGCTCAGGGCGTTCATTCAGACAAGGGGGAAGACGGGTGCTGCTCTCTGCCAGGCCAATCTGGGTGCTGGGCTGGTGGAACAGATGGGAGCTCAGCCCCCACCCACAGCCCCGCCTCAAGATGCTCAGAGTCCAACAGGGAAGCCTGCAGCACATAGCAGCGCCGTGGGATGAACCCTGGGATTGAGGAAGCGCAGGGTGCCCTGGGAGGATGCACCAGAGAGAGGCAGCCCAGGGAGGAAGAAGGCTTCCTTAAGGAGGCAAGTCCAGGGGGAAGTCCTAAAAATGGGCATGAATAAGCCGAAAGGGAGAGAGCAGGAACAGCTTGGGGTTGGGCCTGGAGGGCGCATGGAGTGTTTAGGCCCCGCTAGTAGTTTCGCCTGCAGAAGCATCAGTCAGGTGCAGTGACTGGAGAGGCACATCCCCAGCCCTGCCCAGCAGTCCAGGCCTCAGGCCCCTCCCAGGGAGAACCCCCAACCCAGCGGCAGCCCCGCCTAGGACGGCTGTTTTGTGATGTGATACCTACGGGGAGGGCATGAGGGACATCCTCCTTCACCCTCTGCCCCCTCCCCTGGAGGAGCTCAGCGAAGCCTTGAAAGGCCGGGGCTCTGGGAGGTGTGCCCACCTGGAGGGGTGGGGGCTCTGGGGGTCTGCCCACCCGGAAGGGTGGGCCAGAAACAGAAAAGAAAGAGATGCCGCAGCACACCTGCCCCTGCCCCGCCACACCTGCAGCAGGTGCTCTGTTCAGCCAAGGCCCAAGACAGCCATGCAGGGCAGCGTGTCCGGCCATTCCCACTTCACAGGAGGAGACACTGAGGCTCAGAGAGGACCCACCCAGGTCAGAGCCCTCCCTCCAGGCTGGCGGGGGCAGTGAGTAGTGTGGGAGCTGGACCTGGTCTAGGCTGCACACCCAGGTTGGAGCAGAGCTCGCCCCCTCGCCCTCTGGGTCCCCCGCTGGCAGCTTGTCCCATACTTTCATCACTTCCTGTGTCTGAGCCCCTACTCTGGGCTGGCACATCAGGACAAGAACCCCCAGGGGAGATTCTATTTTGCCCACTCTACAGATGAGGAAACTGAGGCTCAGAGACTGTAAGGCCACATAGTCCGTTCAGAGATGGAGCCAGGCTTTGGCAGGGCCATCCAGGCCAGAGCCAGGGCTCCATGGCCACACTCCAGGTCCCTACCCTGCTGGGTCTCCACTCACTGACTCTCAGCCCTGGAGAGCAGGCCCTCGTTCCCTCTGTTCTGTCCCCAAGGAAGTACCTGTGTGTGGGTGGGGAGCAGAGCTGGCCTGGGCCAGTGGAAAAGAGAAACCTCCCAGCCCTGGCACAGCCTCCAGGCCCTGAGCCCCAACACCATGTCAGCACGATCAGGACACGGTGCCAGTCCCTGCCCATGAGACTCTGGCCAGTTGGCCCCCGCCATGGAGTCTGCTGTCTCAGACAGACCCAGGGTGCCTGCCAGGAAAGAGGGAGGAGACAGGACCATCTCCCCCACACCCAGGTTTGGCTTAGGGAAACTAGGCTTGGGGACAGGGCCCTGCCTCCCCTCTCCGGCCGGCTCTGAGGGTAAAACCATGCCTCTCCCCTCAGTCCAGGCTACCAGGGCGAGGCAGAGCTGTGGAAGGCACGAGTGACCCCATTCAGCAGATGAGGACGGCCAGCCTACTGACCAGGCCCAGGTCTCAGCTGAGGGAGTGGCAGGGCTGGACTCAAACCCGGGTCTCTGTGCTGGTGACTGCTCATCACCCGGGCCCTCCGGAGAGCAGAGTCTGTGCCTCTCCCACAGGCAGAGCCAGGCTGTCCCAGGAGGGGCGGAACCTTCTCCTTTCCCCAGGCACTCGCCAGGGAGCCACTTCCATGGGCCCCTGCAGGGTCTAGAGTCCCCGCTTGCATTCCTCCTCCTTCTGAACAAAGAGGGTGGTGAGTGGGAGCCCCAGAGAGGCCCCGTAATAATCGAATCGGGACATCCGTCGCTGTGGGAGGCAGGTGGGGGTTGACAATATGGAGACAGAGACAGCCAGACGAAGCTGGGAGAGGAGGGCAGAGACAGGGACAGAAGGTCCGGGCTGAGGGCCCAGGTCGTGGCTGGGATCAGGGCTCAGAGCGCCACAGGAATCAACGCCCATTGTGCTATTAGGATTGGGGTCAGTGTGTGACCAGGGTCAGGGCTCAGAGTGGGACAGGGATCGAGGTTCATCACATTACTGGGATCATGGCTCAGTGTGTGACCAAGATGAGGGTTCAGCTTTGTTTGAGATCAGGGTCAGACCCTTAGTGCGGGGAATCAGAGCATGCTTTGCTAGCTCCCTCTCCTCTCCGGTCTGGCCTCTGGGGTGTCCAGCACATTCTGCCCATCCCCCCAGCTCCAGAGACCGCAGAGCCCCCACATCCCTAGCCAGGACCCCAGCACCGCAGCGTTGCTGGTGAGCCTGCTGGGCTGGCCCTGGGGAGTTTTCTGGGACAGCAGAATTCCCAGGGGCCAGCATCACCCTGGGACTCACTCCCACAGGAAACGTTCTGTGTTGTTTATGATTTGTCTCTGATTGGGACACTAATATAGGCCCCGTGCAGACAAATTGGAAAAGCAAAAGGCACATAGAAAGGAATCCCAAAATACTTTTTTGGCCATGCAGTCCCTCAGTCCAGCTGCAAAGCCGCCTCGACCTTTTCTGAGAGCGTTTCATCCACAGCAGGGGAGGGACGCATCTCTTTCGGGGGGACCTTCTGGGGCTCCTGAAGCCCACAGCCCTGAGACGCCAGGTTCCCAGCCCCCATGTGCCCAGCCTCCTCTCCTCCCCTGGCTGCCTGCTGTGCCCCCAAATCCCGTCTCTGGTGGCACACCTGGGCTGAGGGAGGACAGACCTATTCATCCAACAAATGCACCCATCAATGCCCGCGTGTCAGGGCCTGGAGATAGAGAGCTTGCTTGCAGTCGGGGGGAGCTGGGAGCTGAGCCTGGGCCCTTGTGTGGTGGGGGTGGCAGGAGGGGCTGGGCACAGGCCTGGGCAGCACTTGACTCCTCCCAGCAGCCTCCAGGGTAGCACGCACCCAGGGCTGGGGTCCCAGAGGCAGAGGGCATGCTGGGTGACCTCATGCAGGCACTGACCTCTCTGACTCTGAGGAAGAAGGTGGCCGCCGACTGGAGGGACCTGGCCCTCTGAAAGCAAGAGTTCTTTTGCTGCCCTGAGCCAGGCCAGGGGCTGTTTGAAGGCAGGGCTCATTGTTCCCCAGGGGTGGGATGGGGCCACGCACTGGTCAGAGGGAGTGGCGGGGCACAGCCTGTTTACAGCAGGGGCCACCAGGAGGGGAAGGGGTAAGTGTCCTCCCTTCTCCAGCAGGTGGGGGAGGGGCGCTGTGCAGAAGAAACGGCCCACGAGCCTCCCCACCCTGCTGGCCCCAAAGACTTCTCCTTTCTCCTGAAAAAGCCAGAAATGCCCTTATTTGGAGGGTCAGCCCAGCTGTAGGGTGGGGGTAGGGCCGTTAACCCTTCATTTATAAATAGAGGGATAAATCACTGCCGAGTTAAACACGCCAGGGCAGGAACATAAACAGAGTGGGTGGCTCCGGCACAGCCCCTCGCCCGCCCCCCACCCTGGCCCCCCTGCCCAGGCCAGACGGGAGCTCGGTGTTTATTTGACTCACACTCTGGCTCCAGGCTTCAGCCCCAACCAGCCACCCCACAGGGGCCTCTGTCTCCTTTTCTGTAGTTTGGGGGGATCATAGGGGTGCCCGCCTCTCAGGGCCAGTAGGAGCCTGGGGTGCCCAGTGAGACTGGTCCTTGGCTCCCATGCAGCCCCACTGGACAGCCTAATTCCCTTTGTAAAGGTCCCTCATGAGGACCCCCATCCAGGGCATTGACCTGATGCTGGCCTAGGAGGAGGGGAGAACAGATGGGTGGTCCCGGAGGATGGGGGCCATGACGGTGGGTGTGGGGACAGGGGAGTGGGCAGGGCAGTCAGAGGTCCCCACCATGAACAAGGCTCTGTCCCAGCAGAACTGGGTCATCAGCCACCAACTCTGCTGGCGCTGCCGTGCTGACCCGCTTGCTTAGTCACCCCAGCAGCAACGCGATCCCAGTGACATGGATTAGGAAGCAGGTAGAGAGGTTAAGTGGCCTACCCGAGCAAGCACACTAGTCAGTGGCACAGCTGGGGCTGGAGCCAGGCCCTGGAACTGCACACTGGAGCCCCGTGGTCTTGCCCTTATCAGCTCTCCATCCCGAGGACAGCCCTGCACCGCACGTGTTTCCGCCTCCCCCTCGTGCCAGGACGGTCGCAGAAACCTCCGTATTTTGTCGAGTCTCCACGCTGGCAAGTGCCAGTCCTGGAATTTGAACACGCGTCTGACTCTGAAAGCCTGTGCCTTTTCTGCTGCTGTCCGAGGCTCCCTCTGGGTAGAGCCAAGGGAGCAGGCATTTGAGGCCCCAGCCAGGCGAGGGCATGGAGAAGGGGGATGCTGGGCGTGCAGGGGCAGACGGGCCAGCTGAGTTCTGGGCCTCAGGGCAGGGCTTAAGGCCAGGCTGGCGCCTGGGGTGACCTGGTCTCCTTGCTTCCAGGCCTGGGGTGTGCTGGCTGCCGTCATGCCCTCTGTGTCTCCAGCGGGGCCCTCGGCCGGGGCAGTCCCCAATGCCACCGCAGTGACAACAGTGCGGACCAATGCCAGCGGGCTGGAGGTGCCCCTGTTCCACCTGTTTGCCCGGCTGGACGAGGAGCTGCATGGCACCTTCCCAGGCCTGTGGCTGGCGCTGATGGCGGTGCACGGAGCCATCTTCCTGGCAGGGCTGGTGCTCAACGGGCTGGCGCTGTACGTCTTCTGCTGCCGCACCCGGGCCAAGACACCCTCAGTCATCTACACCATCAACCTGGTGGTGACCGATCTACTGGTAGGGCTGTCCCTGCCCACGCGCTTCGCTGTGTACTACGGCGCCAGGGGCTGCCTGCGCTGTGCCTTCCCGCACGTCCTCGGTTACTTCCTCAACATGCACTGCTCCATCCTCTTCCTCACCTGCATCTGCGTGGACCGCTACCTGGCCATCGTGCGGCCCGAAGGCTCCCGCCGCTGCCGCCAGCCTGCCTGTGCCAGGGCCGTGTGCGCCTTCGTGTGGCTGGCCGCCGGTGCCGTCACCCTGTCGGTGCTGGGCGTGACAGGCAGCCGGCCCTGCTGCCGTGTCTTTGCGCTGACTGTCCTGGAGTTCCTGCTGCCCCTGCTGGTCATCAGCGTGTTTACCGGCCGCATCATGTGTGCACTGTCGCGGCCGGGTCTGCTCCACCAGGGTCGCCAGCGCCGCGTGCGGGCCATGCAGCTCCTGCTCACGGTGCTCATCATCTTTCTCGTCTGCTTCACGCCCTTCCACGCCCGCCAAGTGGCCGTGGCGCTGTGGCCCGACATGCCACACCACACGAGCCTCGTGGTCTACCACGTGGCCGTGACCCTCAGCAGCCTCAACAGCTGCATGGACCCCATCGTCTACTGCTTCGTCACCAGTGGCTTCCAGGCCACCGTCCGAGGCCTCTTCGGCCAGCACGGAGAGCGTGAGCCCAGCAGCGGTGACGTGGTCAGCATGCACAGGAGCTCCAAGGGCTCAGGCCGTCATCACATCCTCAGTGCCGGCCCTCACGCCCTCACCCAGGCCCTGGCTAATGGGCCCGAGGCTTAGTCAGCAGGGCTCTGCCAGGGGCCGAAGGTCAGGACTCATCTGGGCATGCCAGCGTGGACACCCACCATGCCAGGGGTGGCAATCGGTTCCATCTCGATTGATTGGTGATGGCTACCCAGAGCACCGCATTGAGCGTCTAAGGCCACTGTGCTGTGGTTGATTAGCAATGTCTGCCACTGGCTCCGATGGGATGTGGTGGCCTGAATGCCGGTGATTTGCTGTTCCTGGGGTATAGCACGTCCACTGAAAACTCACAGGGGTAGCCGGGAGCTGCTCCTCACTTTGGCCAGTTTGTCTCCAGAAGGAGTTCCTCAGAAAAAAGGGCACAGTGGATTCCATTGATTAGAAGGATGAGATGAAAAAGAAAAAAGAAAAAAGGACAAAGATTATTTAGGTGCTGGGAATTCCCAAGAGAGTTAAGAAACAACCTGAATTCCCGAGAGAGCTAACAACAACAATGCTCCCTCCAACACACACACAGGAGGAAGGACAAGGACAGAAAGAAAAGGCCAGGGAGCATTCGTGTTGCATTAATGGAGGTGGGGGGGGGTGCATGTCTCTGCAAGACCCCCCCACCTGAGGCCTCCGTGAATTGCACGATAAAACGGCAGACACCCACAGGCCGCTCTGCTGTGAGCAAGCACTGTGATATCTAGGTTGACACTTGAACCCACAACAACCCACAAAGGAGACGCTACTTTTCATCCATTTCTTGGTGCTGGAGGGGTCAAGTGACACACACAGGGGCCACAGCTGGGAAATGGCAGGGTCAGAATGAAAACCAGCCCCACCTCCTCCAGTGCCCTTGCACCTCCTTCCACAGAGAGTGCACGATCATCCCAAAGCCCCCACTCTAGGAATGGCCTCAGAATGGCTCACCTGCTGCCCCAGGTAGAGGCAGTGTTCACAGCCCCATCCTATGGATAAGAAAACCAAGAACAAAGTCACGCAGCAGTGAACCCAGGCATGCCGGGTTGTGGCCACCATCTCCCCATGCAAACAGCCATTTTCCTCCCCCCGGGGGCAGAGAGGACGTGACCAGCTGCTCTGGCCCAGCTCACTATGAGTCCCCATGCCTTCACTAGGGAGGGAGCTTTTCTCTGGCTGGGGCCTCTGATCATCTCCTCAGAGCTGGACTCCAGGATTTCCTCCCACGTGCCTTCTGCCGAGCGTCCAAGCTCCCAGCCCTTTCAGGACTGGTAATGGGGAAGGGAGCCTGTGGTGAGGAAGAGGAGTGTGGGGCATCCCTGGCACTTCCGGCTCTGAGGCCCTGCCATCAGACCTGGCCATAGCCACTGAAGCAGGCGAGATGGGCTCAGGTCCTCAGGCCAGGCCTTTGGCTACAGAGAAGTCCTACACACTCAGGGTGACCGTGGCCTGTGTGGCTGGGAGCAGGAGGGGGAGGAGGAGGAAAAGGCCGGGGCTCCCCGATTCAGCTCGAGGCAGAGTCTCCTGACCCCAGTTTAGGGTCCTGGACTTTATATCCCCATGTTACAAATGAAGAAACTGAGGCTCAGAGGGAGAAAGGGGCTTGCCAAGGTCATAGAGTGAGTGCCTGAGTCATCCAAGGCCAGTATTGTCCTCACCAACCCCAGCTGTGGCCATGTGGAGCAGCTGGGGTGGGGGGCACCGGCCCAGAGGAGTCAGAGGCGTGCCCCGCAAGGTGGTGGAACTGGGAGTGCTGCCAGGGTTACTTCCTCCCTGGGTCCGGATGCCCGAGAAGCAGTGGGTATCACCATGGCCGCCAGCATTCTTGATACTTACCAGGCACCAGGCACAATTCTGGAACCTTCCCCCAGCCCCCAGCTCTCGGGTGCTGCTCAGAGAGGGGCCGTGGCTTACCAGGGATGCAGGGTTCCACAAGGCAGAGGGGCCCAGCGTTCAGGAAAGGACGTGGCTGGGGGACAGGGCTGTGCATGCAGAAAAACCCCGCTGACCACAGGTGCAGCATTCACGGCGACTTTCAGGCAAGCAGGCACCAACAGCCAGCGAGCCATCATTCCCAGGGCTGCGAGCTGGCACCCACGTGGTCACATGCCTAGAGCTGAGGAGTGAGGGGTCAGGGCTCAGGTGTCCTGCCCAGCCCAAGCCATGAGCTTCTTCCAGGCTCATGTGGCCCAGCAGTCCCTGAATGGCCTTGCTTACCTGGGACCCCTCCACCCACGCTCACAAGTCATCCAGGGCCAGGGACTCTGGACTCCATTCCTCCAGGAGCTGTGGATCCTCTTGCTCCATCTTAGGGGGCGCCCCAAGCCCCAGAGACTACCTGCCGGCTCCCACTCCCGCCCCTCAAGCAAGCTCTGCACGTGGCCTAGAGTATGACACCCCTCTGCCCTTGGTCCCGCACTGTACTGTGAAGACCTCTCCAGCCCAGGGCTGCAAGGAGGCAGGGGCCAGCGGGAAGGAGTGCTAAGATGAGGGGGAATGGCCTGGGCAAAGGTAAGGCCAAGCGCCCGCCTCGCTGGGGCCAGTGAAGGGCCTTCCATGCAGCTTCCCAGCCCCTCCCCTCCCCTACCAGTCTTCCCGGCCCCTTCCCCGCCAGTCTTCCCTGCCCCTCCTCCACCGGTGTTACGTGCCCCTCGGGCCTTTGGCCTCCCCATCAATGACCCCCAGCCTGGCTCCATTCCTGGTTGTCACTCTAATTCACGCTAAAGAGTGAATGGCTGACACTTGAGGATTGCTGTGCTTGAAGAGGCAGGGCTTGCAATTTTTCTGGAACAATCCCTTTCTTCAGGAGGAGGGGTCTCTAAGGCAGGTGAGCCAGGTCCCCTCCTTGTCCCCACATCTGAAATCCAATCATTCAACTTGGGTTCCTCGGGCCTCAGAGGCTTCTCAGACTGTAAGAGGCCGGGAGGGGAAGGACATCCTGTCCGAAGCGGCAAGTGCGTCCACTACCACTCATGCTGGAGAGGACAGGCCGCCTGTCTTCTGTGGCCAGGGACACAGGCTTGGGGCCCACCCTCAGACCTCTGAGAACTGCCTGCCAGCCCCCGATGCAGAACCCTTGATAGGCAAGCCTCAGTTTCTCCACACCCCACTCCTCTTTCTCCTCTCCTCAGCCTTACAGCTGGAGGGCAGGGGGCTGGGGAAGGGGGTCACCCCAATGCCCTGGACTGGGCCCCACAGCTCCCCCGGCTGCTTGCTTCCTTCTCCTGACGGCCGGCTCCTTCCCACTTCAGCCTCCTCTGTGGGCACCGAGGCCCAGGAGCTTCAAAAGTCAGACCAAGACTGTCCTTGGTCCCACAGGGGCAGAGGTGAGATCTGTGCGTGCCCCCTCTCCACACTCACGGGGACAGGGCGTGAGATCTTTGCGCCCCCTCCCCATGATCTCCCTTTCCAGATTTTCAAAACGCCCAAGTGACGTGAAATGGTGTGTGTATTTATATCCGACGTAAACAATCTCCTTCACGAGATGTCCTCGTCTGGAATTAAAGCTGTTTATTCTATTCTTGCCCACGACTCTGGTCCTGGGCTGGTGGGGGACATGGAGCTGGCGGAGGGTATGGAGCAGGGTGGCAGCCCTACGCACGCCCCAACTCTGTGTCCTGCGGACCAGCAGGGCTCCACAGGGAGGCAGCGGCAGTGGTTTTGTGGTTTTGTCATCCCTGCTGGGAGGCAGATTTAGGGGCCTTGAGCCCTGCCCAGCTCTGATGGGCAGGGGATGGAGGGGGCACAAGTGGCTGACTTGCCAGCAGGGTGTGGGCACAGCAGCTGGGTGGGGGGCATGGACCAGCAGAACAAGGCGCTCCATCCCTGATCCCGAACCTGCCTACCCAGGGCAAGGACGTGGAGGTGGGCGAGGCAGCCAGACCACCCACAGCCACTGAGTCCTATCATATCAGCAGAGATATGGCCTAGAGGGAGAGGGAGGGGATAGGACAGCTGGTCCAACACACCAGGGAGAGGGAGCACTGGCCTCCCTGTGGGCCTACTAAGTGCCACTGAGTGGCCCCTTCACTGAACCTGGGAGGGTGAGATGACCACCTCCATTCCTAGAGGAGAAACTTAGGCTTTGGGGGTGGTCAGGGAGGGGGCTCAAACCAGGGCCCCCAGGTGCCCAGTTCTCGGTCTCTGGTCTGGCCCAGCAGAGCTCTGGGTGGGGAGGCGCTGTCTGGGGGCTCATCACTCCCACAGTCTGGCACCCGCGGCAGCCGGAGGCGTCTGGATGTAAATATTAGGGCCTGTTTAGATTAAAGCTCCATTAATAGCAGGAAATGTCGCCTGGGTGCCTGCCCCAGCTTCCTGGAGGCCTGAAGGCATGGAGCGGGGTGGGGGTGCACTATCTGCGCTGGAGACCCCCACCGTGTGCCCTATTGGAGCTGGACACCCCCTATCTCCACACCCGCACACCCTGCTTGCCACCTGGCTTAGCAGTTCTGACTCCAGCCTCCCTGCCTCTTCACACACAGCCCCTCCTCTCTCCTTCAGGGCCTCTGCAGCCCAGCGCTCTGTGCTCCCCACCCCTCACGGGATGAGAGGGGACCCACGTGGCCACATCCGCCCACCCTCCAGAGCTGGGCCCCCACCCGAAGGGGTCTGTGCACCCAATTCACAGCGGAGAAAACTGAGGCTTAGAGACATCATGGGACCAACCCAGCGTTCCCAGGCGCCACCTCAAAAAGGAGCTGGAATTCCCCTCCCAGCCCTGCCTGACTCCAGGGTCAAGGCCACCCCCTACATCCTGACCCCCCACCAGAAAGCTGTGGGCCAGGGAGAGGGGGCAGTCAAGCTCAGCGTCTGCAGAACGTCTCTGGCTGTGGAGGGGCGGGCCCAGGTGCAGGAGGGAGTGGAGGGGTGAGTAGGAAAGGTGGGAGGAGATAGAGGGGCCGAGGGGAGGGGCTGCGGCTGGAGGGCCAGGACAGGCCTGGGGAAGTGGCTCCGCCCATGAGACCACACTCTCCTGCTCCCAGTCCTGTCCCCTGCCATTCCCTCCCCCTGGATGGTCCCTCACCCCATCTCCTCGGACCACCTGCTCCATGACTCCTGGCCCCCGCCCCACTGGCCCAGCAGCCTGTGCCCAGCCCCAGCCAGGGCCTTCCGCTTGTCAAGTCCCACCCCCTCCTCTGCCCCTACTCTTCCTGGGGCTGCCTCTTGAAACTGATTCCTCCCCACCCCCACCCCAGGACAGGCCACAAGGCCCAGCCTCACCCTCCAGACTGGACCCTGCCCCACCTTTCCTCGGCCTCACTGAGCCCTCAAGGACTCAGCACGGATGACCCCTTCACCATCCCTCGGCTAGTTCTGGGCCTCCAGGTGTGTCTACCTAACTCTCCCCTGCAGCACCTCTCCAGAACTCAGCTGGAGCTGAGGCCAGGCCCCCTGCAGAGCCCTGGGGAGTCCTGTGCTCTCGTGGCTCAGCTGCAGGGGTGCTCAGATCCTACCCCCACGTGGCCAGCCCCAGGGAGAACAGTCACGTGTTGGGCACAGGACGGGGTCACCCAGGAGGGCTCCAATGAGGAAGAGGTGCTCGACGTCATTCCCTCCTGGTCCTCTCTTTGCCCACCTGGGCCAGGAGGGACTTCTTCCAGATGACTCCCAGCTGGGCCTCTCCTGGAGGGTGTGGTGCTGGGAGCGCCAAGTGCCGCGCAGACCTGGACAGGCTGGCAGGGCCAGGGGTGTCGCACCCCCGTTTTACAGATGAGCTCACCTGCTGCAACCACACACCCTCCTGCCTAGTCCAGCTCGGCCCCTGATTCGCTGATTCCAGGTCACCTCTGAGCCTGGGCTTTGCCCCTGTAGGTGGGAGCCTAACACCAAACCGCAGGTGCCCCTCACACCCGCCCAAGGGAGGCAGCGGAGGCCTGGCTGCTCAGGGGTCCCCCGAGACCTCAGCCATGTCCCTGCCCCTCTCTGGGCCTCAGTTTCCCCATCTGTAATCCAGAGCTTAGAACAAATGGTTCCCTAGCCCTGGTGTGCGAGGCACCCACCCAGTGCCTCTGGGCCCTGCCCACCTCCTCTGCTGCCCCGGCCCTCAGCACAGCCTCTGCCTATCACGCCTGCATGGGGACGCCCTCACAAGTTGACGCCAAGGGCTGACGTGGGAAAAGCTCTTGTGTTTATAAGCCAGCCCCAGGCTCTGAGTCTGTCCTTCTCCTACAGCCCCCCAGCTTCCCAGGGCACCAGCGTGGGAGTCCTGGACAGAGAGGGGAACTCGCCCGGCACCACAACCCAGGGAGGCCTCGGGACACTCTGCTGAGATGGAGTGGGGGTGGGGCATGAACCTGGGGGGAGGAGTGGGCCAGGTGGGCTGTCACTTGTCCTGCACTGGAACATCAGGGACCCGGGTGCCTCCCTGGCGTGTCACAGCATCGAGGGGCCCCTGGGTGTCCAGCGTGCTGTCTGACCACCCGGTGAGAGCTGCCCTTCGGACTACCACTTGACCCCAAGGGCCAGTCGGGAAATGCCACATCATCTATGTGCTCACTATTTCAATGACATTATAGCATCACTGGGTTTTGGGAATCCTCGGTGTTTTACATAATGGGAGTCCACAGGCATCTTCAGCCACCAAGAGTTCCTGGGGGAACAGGCACTGACCATCTGAACCTGGTGTGCCTGGGTGGGGCTCCCAGGGGACTGGGAGGGCTGGGGCCACCACTCTCCTGGTACCTGCCCTACTGTCCATGAGAGGCTCATCCCCTCCCAAATGCATTGCACATTTTACAAACTATTCTGCTTGGAAACTCAGCAAATGAGCTACCTGTGGGGGAAGGGGGCAGCACGGGGGCCCAACACCCATCAGACTTCACATCGGGGCCAGCCTGGGGGCTGAAGGACATCGGATCCCCTGTGTACTGCAGGCATCCAGGCGGTACCAGTGGCCTGGGGTCAGGGTCCTCCACTCACCCCCACGGGTGCCCCTCTTAGTGGCCTGGTGGGGGTGCAGGGTTGAGGTCCAGGAGTCTGAATCCCCCACCTCAACCATCCTCTCCAGAACAAAGCTATGGAAGGGTTTTGGGGAGCTCCCAGAACCCTAACTCGGGAGATCACAGAGAGGCTGCCACAGCCCAACCCAGAGCAGGCCCTCCAGAATACAGCCCAGGTAACAGGATGGCCCAGCCGCCAGGCCCCTGTATCACACTAGCCCCTCAGCAAGTTACGTGTCTTTCCTAAGCCTCAGTTTCCTCCTCTGTCAAGGGGAGATTGCGGACACCCTCTGCCTTAAGGCAAGGTTGCGAGAATTAAGTGAGTGTGTGTGGATCTGTGTGTAGGCACATGTTATGCATGCCTGCGTGTCTGTGTGTCTACATGTACGCAGGCATTCATGTGTACATGCAGGAATGTGTGTGTGTGTGTGTGTGTGTGTGTGTGTGTGTGTCTCAGTCTACTTTCTGTTGCTATAACCACATGTGCAGAACACCACAAACTGGCTAATTCCTAATGACTAGGAATTAATTGGCTCAACAAATTCTGGAGGCTGGGAAGTCCAAGATGGAGGGGCCCCATGTGGTGAAGGCGAGACAGATAGAGAGACAGACAGAGACAGAGAGTGTGCCAAACTTGTCCTTTCCCAAGGAACCCACTCCCAGGATGATGAACCATTCCCTGCTTTTACCTTTTGTTGCTTTGGGGGAAAAAGAACCATTCCTGAGATAACGTATTAATCCATTCATGAGGGTGGTGCCCGCATGACTCAAACACCTCCCAGTGGCCCCTCATCCCAACACTGTCACACTGGTGATCGAGTTTCTGACATGTGAACCTAGGGGCACCCGTGCAAACTGCAGCAGTGTGCATGTGTGAGTGTGTGTGTCCATGTACCTATGTACAGTCATGCGTCACTCACTGACAAGACACATTCTGAGAAATGCATCATTAGACCATTTCCTCATTAGGGGACCGTCACAGACTGTCCTTACACAAACCCAGATGGAATGGCCTCCAGCACCCCTCGGCTCTACACCGTAGCCTTTGCTCCTAGGCTGCAAACCTGTACCGCGTGTTACTGTACTGAGTCCTGTGGGCGACTGTAACACGGTGATAAGTATGTGTGCAACTAAACAAATCCACACATAGAAAAGGTAACGCACTGTGCCACAGTGTTACGATGGCTGGGACATCACTGGGCAACAGCCATTTTTCAGCTATTTGGAATCTGACAGGACCACTGTCATATACGCAGCCCATCACTGACTGAAACGATGTTATGTGGAGCATGGTTGTATATGTGTCTGCGTATCTGTGTGTATGTACGTGTATATGTATGCGAGTCTGTGTGTACATTGTGTATGTATGTGCATGTGTATGTATGTGTATATGCATGTGAGTCTGTGTGTGTGTTTGTGAGTCTGTGTATGTATTGTATATGTGATGTGTGTATGTGCGTGTGTGTACGTACGTGTGTGTACGTGAGTCGCTGTGTGTGTCTGTGTATGCACGTGTGTGTATGTTTGTGTTTGTATGTATACGTACATGTGTGTATGTGTGTATGTGAGTCTGTATATGTGTGTGTACATGTATTTACATTTGTGAGTGTGTGTATGTACCTATGTATATGTATATGTGCATGAGTCTGTGTGTACATGAGTCTGTGTGTGTGTGTGAGTCTGTGTGTGTCTGTGTGTGTCTGTGTGTGTGTCTGTGTGTGTATGTGAATCTGTGTGTGTCTATGTGTATGTGAGTCTGTATGTGTGTGTATGAGTGTGTGTGTATGTGAGTCTGTGTGTGTATTTGAGTCTGTGTGTGTCTGTGTGTATGTGAGTCTCTGTGTATGTGAGTCTGTGTATATGTGAGTCTGTATGTGTGTGTGTCTGTGTGTATGTAAGTCTGTGTGTGTCTGTGTATGTGAGTGTGTGTGTGTATGTGAGTCTGTGTGTGTATGTATATGTGTGTGTATGTGAGTCTGTGTGTGTGTGTGAGTCTGTGTGTGTCTGTGTGTGTGTGTCTGTGTGTGTATGTGAATCTGTGTGTGTCTATGTGTATGTGAGTCTGTATGTGTGTGTATGAGTGTGTGTGTATGTGAGTCTGTGTGTGTATTTGAGTCTGTGTGTGTCTGTGAGTATGTGAGTCTGTGTATTTGAGTGTGTGTGTGTCTGTGTGTATGTGAGTCTCTGTGTATGTGAGTCTGTGTATATGTGAGTCTGTATGTGTGTGTGTGTCTGTGTGTATGTAAGTCTGTGTGTGTCTGTGTATGTGAGTCTGTGTGTGTGTGTATGTGAGTCTGTATGTGTGTGTATGTATGTGTATGTGTGTGTGTATGTGAGTCTGTGTGTGTATGTGAGTCTGTATGTGTGTGTATGTGAGTATGTGTATGTGTGTGTGTATGTGAACCCTGTCTCTTCTTTTGGTGTGTGTGTGTGTGTGTGTGTGTGTGTCCTCCCATGGTGTTTGGCACTCAATCAGTGATTGAACTGAGCTAATGAAAGGAGCAGGGCTGTCCTCTGGACAGTCCCCAGCACGTTCATTCATTAATTCAATCAACAGTTTATCTACCCACCCTGTGCCAGGTATAACTGAGGGTCTCACTCCCAACAAAACGTCTGCCTCCCCATACACACACTTACATCCATGCACCATGATCACAGTGGCCGACCCCTCCAATGGGGCTCATTCCCCTGGGGCCAACCCTATTTTCTCTGGGCTTTCCCTGGAACTTGCACACACATAGGGGTGGGCAGAGCTAAGGGGGCACATTCTGGGCCCCAGCCCAGCCTGGGCGAGCCCCTCCAGCTGGCCCCAGCCCCTCCACTGATCCGCTGGGAATGCCGGCAGGATTGAAGTGCCTGGGGCATATGACCACCAGGTGGCGCTGCTGGCCTGGGAGCTGCTGCAGAGGCACCAGGACCCTCCGACCTTCCTCTGCCGCCTGTCTCTCCAGGCGTCGTCCCCAGAGCTGAGCAATCCTGGAAGAATGCTCAGAGGATCTGTGACTTCCTGACCGGCCTGGGAGAGGTTCTCAGACTGGACCTCGTTCCAGACTGCCCCTCCCTCTAGGTCTCTTTCCCCACCTAGGGGAGGGCTTGTGCTCAGGGGTCACAGCCTCGAGAGAATGTCTGCACTCCTCCTTACCTGAGTGGCCTTGCAGGTTCCTTTGCCTTCCCAACTTGGGGACAAGTGAGGGCGTCTTCACTGTGTGCCTGCCCCATGCCAGCCTTGCAGATGGAGTGCAGATGGAGTCGGGTACAAGTGCCCTCCACCCTCCACCCTCCACCCTCCACGCACAGGCAGGCTAGCTCCTCCCTCCTCTGTATACCCGGACAGGAGGGGTTCTTATAATGCCCTCCTCCCAAGCAGAAGGAGGCTGAGGCTCAGCGAAGTGAGCCCTCACTCTGCCCGGGGCACACAGCTCGGGGCAGAGCCCACTCCTCACCTTCGCCTTCTCTCCAGGTCCCGAGGTGGTGTGCTGCCTTGCAGAGCGAAACTGTTTTCCCTGTTGTAGAGATGGGTGGGGAGCATGCAGGGAGACAGAAAATGCCCTGTCTGGAGTCACCCCAGCGAAGAGCAGTGGGGCTGGGGCTGGGCAGCTGTGTAGGGGTCAGGGGGCAGCTGGGGAGCTGCCTCTCCTTCTGGATGACAGGCTGCACTTGCACTTGTCGGGGGAGCCAAGAGCCCCCACGGCCATCCATGGTCCTCAGGTTAAAAACCTCATTCATCACCTGTGAGCCCAGAGAGGTCAGAGCCCCCCACCCCGAGTCACACAGCCTGGCAGCCGAGACCGCTGTGTGGGCAGGAGTGAGAAACCAGCCTGAGGGCTCAGATGTCCTGACAGGCAGTCCTGAGCATTGCCAACCAGATCACTGGCACCTGCCCCAAAGCCGGTGGCAAGGGAGAGAGTGCTTGGGTGTGTGTCACTCGGCGGTCTCTGGCCCCTTGGGTCAGGCAGAGGGGACAGGCCCCACCTGTAGGGACAGAGGGAGACAGTGACAGTGTCCAGTAGACCCTGGCCCGACAGCTGGGCCACGCCCCTGCCTGTGTATCCATCTGCCCCACTGTGGTTCAGCTGAGGGTGGACTGGCCTGGCAGGTGGGCACAAGGCCCGGGCCCCAGATTCCTGGAGAGGTCGGTGGGAACTCCTGTCAGGGGGCCCCAGGGAGCGGGCAGTGTGGCCACTGGGCCCTGACACCCTCTGGGGAGCCAAGGCAGGGCCAGGCCAGGGGTCTTTCCAGCCCACTCCCGCTCCCGGGCTCCGAGTCGCCTGCCAGCTGTCTCACTTCCTTCCTGTCCACTGGCCCGCAGGCCACCTGCTGCCACCTTCTCCAGCACTTGCTCTGCCTCACCCATAGGCCTTTGCTGGACTGCGGGAGGCCGGAAAGATGGAAACAACTCCAGAACCCCAGAACCTTGATTCTTTTTGTTTGTTTTTAGTTTTGAGGCAGGGTCTTGCTCTGTCGCCCAGGCTGGAGTGCAGTGGTGCAATCACAGCTCACTGCAGCCTTGACCTCCTGGGCTCAAGCGACAGCCACCCTCACCCCAATGCCCACAGTAGCTGGGACTACAGGCACATGGAACCATAGTCAGATCTTTTTTTTTTTTTTTTTTTTTTTTTTTACTTTTAGTAGAAATGGGGTCTCAACATGTTGCCCAGGCTGGTCTCCAATTCCTGGGTTCAAGGGATCCTCCTGCCTCAGCCTCCTAAAGTGCTATAATTATAGGCATGAGCCACTGTGCCTGGCTGATTCTTTAAACCAGGATTTGAAATCCTTTCTTCATATCTTGTCCCTGCAATAGCTAATAGTTCTAGAACCTTCTATCCATTCACTTCCCTCTTCCCCTGTGGCATGACCCCCACAAGTCTCTCACAGAGGAAGCCTCAGGCCACAGTGCTTACCAACGACCCCTCTAAGGGGACAAGTTGGGGGCCAGCCTGAGGGAAGGGGCTCCCACTGTGTCTGTGTGGGAGCCCTTGGGAGACGATGCTGGCCCAGCAGGGTGGGTTCTGGGCCTGTGGGGGAAGGTGGAGATGCCACACCTGAGAGCCAGCCCAGGGGTCCGTGGGGCCACAGGTGCAGGGGAAGGTGGACAGGACGAGTGGTCAGATACACTGCCCACCCCTAGGGCCTACCTGAGCCCATGCTAGGTACGTAGTGGGGCTGTGTTTGCGGGGCTGGGACCAAATCCCAGGTCCAGCCCTTGACTGTTGTGTGACCTTGGAGCAGGTGAGTTCACCTCTGTAAGCCTGTTTGCTCCTTAGTAAAACAGCCATACTCACGCTAAATTCTTGGGTGGTTGAGATGAAATTGTGGGAAAGGGACAAGGCATTCAACTTAGCACCACACACAGCCCATCTATCATTCAGCAAGCATTTATTGAGCACCTACTATAAGCCTTGGCATGGAATCAGGATGAATGAGGGACAATCCCTGCCCTCAAGGAGCCCGCAGCTGCAATCCCGGGCAGTGAGGGCCTGTCGGAAATGTAAGCTGGGCTCAACTGCCTGCTAGAGAGGTGGGGAAGGCTTTCCGGAGGAAGTGACATTTAGCTGGGTTTTGAAGGATGCGTAGGAGTTTGCATCTGGAAGGGCATCTGCTGCAGCAGGAACTGTCGGGGCAGAAGTGGAGATGCGGCTGTGTAGTGGAAGCACAGAGGCACAGGGGTCACAGGGCCTGGCCGGCTGGCAGAGGAACCTCAGGAAGGTCACCTCCCCTCTCTGGGCCGCAGTTTCCCTGTCTCTAAATGAGGATAAGCGCGCCCGCCTCCCAAATGGGACAGTGGCTGTGGCAAGCGCGGGGTGAATGCTAATGTTCCCTATTTAATTTTCCATGTTCTGTTTTGAGGCCAGTCAGGGTTATTTCTGTCCACACTCAACTATTTCCAGGCCCAGAGTCCTCCTTTCCCACAGAGGACAGCGCTGGGCCTGCCCCAGCCCACTATCTACTCCCAGGCCGTGGTGGGAGGCCAAGGGCAGGGGGCACCTGGAGAAGAAATGCAGACTCAGGATGGATCAGAGGCAGGGTGGGGACCCAGCCACCCCAGGAAGCCCAGGGCTCCAAGGGCCCCGTTTGGTGTGCCCAAGGCCGAGCAGCCCAGTTCCAAGCCCCTTTTCCAGGTGAGGTGGGACGGAGGCTCCCATGTAGTCAGGGGAAGAGAGCAGAAGCATTTACCACACCCCCCAGGACTGCCCCGCTGCTGCCCGGCCTGCCCAGGCGAGGAATCTCCCCATCCCCACAGCCACAGCCTGGTGTGCCCCACCCGGCCTCCTCCCTGTTCTCTCAGCTTCCCGGTTCCCACCATCACCCCCATTCTGGCCCAAGGGGCTGACCCTGGGGTGTGACATCAGGGAAGACAAGAGGTGGGGTTAGGGCGCTGCCTGACCTCCTACAAAACAAGCTGCCTTCCTGGTAGCCCTGGGCAGCTGGCCCAGGGATGGCCCATGGGGGCCCCGCCCTCCAGCCAGGTTACCTGCTGCTGGCCAAGAAGCTGGGGTGCTCTGGGCTGCCTCCCTGTCCCTTCTGCAAAGCCCCTGATCCCCACAACCTCTCTCCCACCCTGAGAGCCTGCCGGGGGTTCCTTCCTGGCCATCCCTGGGCTCAGCCTCCTTGTCGTGGGGCACAGGATTGGGTGGCAGGAAAGAACAGGGGGGGCTGGGGCTGGGGCACAAGGGGGGCAGGGAAGAGACACAGAGTGGAAGGTGGGGAGGGACAGGCACAGCTGGAGACGACAGTGTGTGGGGGCTCCGGGCAAACACATCTCACCTCCAGCCCGTTCTGAGCAATCCATCAGTGTGGCTGCCCCTGGAACGTGCGGGGGCACCAAGGCGGAGTTGCAGAGGCTGTTACTGATATGTGTCGTGGGGTGAGTCGGGGTGGGGGACGCATATCCCCACTCAGAACTCTGCATCGTAGATCCCATGCGTCTTGACACCTTCGTCTGCTAACATCTAGAAACCTTAGCATTTGAGAACCTTCAGATCCAAGGGTTCTGAGAGCTTAGAATTGTAGGATTTGTGAATTCTAGAAACAAAGGCAAGAAGATCACCCGTAGGGTGTCTCCTCTGCTCATGCAGCCTGGAGGGACCTCTCGGTGATCCCCGGCCGACCCCTCCCCAGCACTCAGCCCAAGAACCAGCCTCAACCACCTCCCTTCCCAGCTCAGCCTCACCTGCTGCCCAACCTGCAATACCTCCTCCCATCTCCCATCCTCAGACAGCCCATCCCTCCTGCAAGGTCCAGTCCGAAGTCGTCACCTCCCCCAGGAGGCCCACCCGTCCTCCTCAGCCCAGCCTGACTCTCAGGATCAGGCTCACCCTGCGGAGGCTGAAGCCACCAAGTCATAGTCCCAGTCCCAAGGGGAAGACAGGCCTGGAGCAGGGAGAGGTGTGGGCAAGAACACAGCCTCCGTCCCACAAAGAGGAGTTCAAACCCCCGCTCCAGCCCAAATGGCCCGGGCAGTGCCCTCACTCGTCTGCTTCAGCAGCCTCACCCGACTACTCACGATGGCTGCAGGTGGAAACTGCCCACGCATCTCTCAGCAGCTGAAAGGATGACTCCACAGTGGACGATTACTCAGGTGTAAAAAGGAGCAAAGCACTGGCACATGCGATAATGCGGAGGGACCTGAAGCCACCGTGCTAAGTGAAAGAAGCCAGACACGAAAGGCCACATGGTGCTCACACCTCCAGAGATGTCCAGAACAGGCAAAGCCAGAGACAGAGCACAGACGTGCTAGCCAGGGCTGGCTTCCTTGGAGGCTCCCAAGGAGAATCTGTTTCCCTGCCTTTCCAGCCCCTGGGGGCCCCCCTGGACTCCATGGCTATGGCGGCGGGTGCCAAGGCCCTGCAGCAGGGCACGACCACCAGGACCCATTGGGAATTGGCATCTGACTCCCTTCCACCACCCCGGGTGCCCCCACTTAGGAAGAGCCGACTCTCAGCAACTGTGCCCAGAGTGGCCTGGCCCATCAACCATGTGCCCCCTCAGCCTTCCTGCAGCCATTCAGAGACAGCAGTAAACACTCCTCCATCCCAGTGTGTGGGCCCAAAGCTGAGATCCCAGCCCAGGTCTCCCAGCTCACAGCCCTGCCCAGGGCCATCCTCCTGCTAGACGTCACCACATCAATGAGCATCTACCCCGTGCAAGGAAGAGGCCGGCGATGGGGTCCAGGTGAGGGGACAGCCAAGCCCACCAGGCGGTGGCCTTCCCTCACCTGCCCATTCTGGGCTAGGTCAGCTCTACCTGGAGCCTGAGCCCAGGCCCCTCCAGTGCCCTCTGCTGACTGCAGCAGACTGACCACCCTGGAGACCCTCCTGCCCCTGCCCCGAGACCCTCCATGCCACCCTGCCTCCAACCTCTGTCTTCTGCCCCCATTGCCCCTTCATGGTCCTGCAGGCCGCCCATGCTCTGTAAATCCAGCCCACCTGGGCACCCCGTGAGACCTCGGACCCGTCACATCCTGGTCCCTCCTCTTCCCCCACCCCCACATCCGACTGGCACTCCCTTTGGGCAGCTCCATCCGGTGGTGTCCTCTCTGAGTCCCAGGGCCTGCATCGGGTGGTGTCCTCTCTGAGTCCCAGGGCCTGGCACTCAGCAGGCCCTGGGGACATCAACCAGGGGCCCTTGAAGCTGTGTCCCTGGACACAGTTTCCCTGCCCCAAGCCCTGGCACATTCGGCCCAGGCTTGGCAAAAACTCCTTGTCCTCCAAGGACTCGGCTGCACCAGCCACTCAAATAAATTGATGTTCCCATCTCTGCTGACTCATGGATGAGAACATCGGGGCTCCTGCCAATGGCCACACACACCCCCAGCCCCACCAGGGAATAGCCCTGCACCCTGCAGGGACAATGTCATGAGCCTGAGAAGCCACCAGCTTCCCCTACTCCGTGAGCACCAAACTCCAGCCTGCTTGAGCTGTTGGGGGCCCCCTGCCTTGGCACTGTTCCTAATAGAGCCTGGGATCTTGTTTGAGCCCTACAAGGAAGCAAGGACCCCAGGCATCATCTTACAAACAAGGAAACTGAGGCTTGGGGAGGGGAGGAGCTTGTGGGTCCAAGTTCCCTGCCGGCTGTAACACTGTAGGAGTCAGAACCTGGCCAATGCCTGGAGGGGGCTTCCTTGGCCAGGGCTGAGCCTCAGGCTGCCCCCACCCCATCTCTCCCCCACTCCCATTGCATATGGAAACCAGAAAATCAATCCTAAGACCCCCAGCCAAACGAACGGACCCTCGTCTTGGCTAAGGACATTCCAAAGTGAACCTGAAAAGCGAGTTCAGGCCACGGTGGGAAGCGGGAGACGGACATACCTTGTTATCCCCCCTCCCTTTTGGAATGACTGGCAGAACAGTCTTTCAGTCTGATAATAAACATCTCCCATCCATTCTCTCTGCAGTCTGCTGCCTGGAGGCTTCATCTGCATGATGAAACCTCGGTCTGCACAACCCATTATCTTAACCCAGACATTCCTATCTACCGACAATAACTCTTTCAACCAACGGCCAATCAGAAAATCTTCGAATCCACCTATGACCTGGAAGCATCCCCGCTTCCGGTGGTTCCGCCTTTCTAGGCGTAACCAATGTACAGCTTATGTGTATTGATTGATGCCTTGTGTCCCCCTAAAATGTATGAAACCTAGCTGTGGCCCGACCACCTTGAACACATGGTCTGAGGGTCTCCTGGGGCTGTCATGGGCCCCCGGCCATTCATCTTTGGCTCAGAATAAATGTCTCAAACACTTTACGGAGTTTGACTTTTTGTTGATATATACGTCCAGGGAGGCCTCACTGCAGACTTACTGGGCCGCAGGGGCCTCAAGGACCAATATGGCCCCTCCTCTTGGAACAGACGGCCCCAAGCCAAGAGGACTTGGGGACCCTGTGGCCCAAACGGGTCATTTCACAGAATGGGAGACGGAGGCCCACACGGGGAATGGAGGAGAGCGAGGTGGAGCAAGGCCCTTCCCAGCCCTGGGCGGCCCCTTGACCCTTTTGTTCCCCCTCGCTGCCAGGCCTGTGACTGGGTGGGCCTGGGTCTGCAGCCCTACGGGGACTGGAGGGACAGCTGAGTGAGCAGAAGGTGCCTTGTGGCCAAGGCACAGAGGCGTCAGGGCCCAGCTGTGTTCAGCAGGAAGAAGGTCTGTGAGTGGAATATGGGGGTGCAGCGGGGTGGGGGGCGGCCAGCCTGCAGCTCAGATGCTGCGCTGGGGCTCCGGCCGTGACCACGCTCAGCCTCTGTGTCCTCCCCGGTAAAGTGGGAGGAATCGCCTTCCACACAGGACTCGGGGCTGGGTGAGGGCTGGGCGGCCACCACCACCTGCCCTGGGGCAGCAGGAGCTGCAAAGCCAGGCTCAAGGCCTGGGGGAAGGAACCCGGCGCTGGGTGCCCAGAGTCCAGATGAGATGGGTTTGGGGGGAAGGAACCCGGTGCTGGGCGCCCAGGGCCCACATGAGTTGGGTGTCGGAGGAAGGCAACCCCACCCAGGCCACCCCAGCCAGGGCTCAGGGACTTTGCCCACATGTTACCCTCTGGATCTTTCGGAACATTCTGCTGAATAAAAACTGGATTTAAAAAAGAGGCCAGGCACGGTGGCTCATGCTTGTAATCCTAGCACTTTGGGAGGCCAAGGTGGGCAGATCACTTGAGGTCAGGAGTTCAAGACCAGCCTGACCAACATGGTGAAAACATGTCTTTACTAAAAATACAAAAATTAGCCAGGTGTGGTGGCACATGCGTGTAATTCCAGCTACTTGGGAGGCTGAGGCAGGAGAATCACTTGAAATCTGGAGGCAGAGGTTGCAGTGAGCTGAGATTGCGCCACTGCACTCCAGCTTGGGCAACAGAGTGAGACTCCATCTCAAAAAATAATGAAAAATAAAAAAGGTATATTCTATGAAACTCTATTTGGGGTGTGATCTCGTTTTTAACAAGTATTTAAGAAGTAGGCTGGTGCAAGGTGTTTCTAAATGCTTCACAGTGTTATCTCTAGCAAACATTTCATCTGACGGTCTTTTGAATGAGGAGCTCCTGAACGTTCGGCAGAGGAGGTGGAACAGAAGAGAGAGGGCAGGCAGGGGCGTCTCCCTTCTTATCAAGGTATGACTAAGGGCACAACCTTATTTCCAAACAGAACAGTGGACAAACCGGGAAAGGGAGAGTCTGGAGAGATGAAGCGATACTATTAGTGCGGCTGACATGTCAATCACGGGGCTGGCACCGTTCACAGCTCTGAGGCTGCTGGATCTTTCCTGCCTCTCACCTCTGCTCTGCTCAGGCAAGCCTAGCCAGGCAGGGACTGGAGTTGGGGGCTGTTTTCCAGTTCACAGAGGAAGTCACAAGGCCCTAGGACACTCAGGGCCTTGGGAAAGCCAGCCAAGGACCAGAACAGATGTTTCGGCCTGACAGCACCTACTCTTGGGTTAAGCATCACCCTCGGTTTGAAAAATAGAAGTGAGGCCAGGAGTGGCTCACACCTGTAACCCCAGCACTTTGGGAAGCCAAGGCGGGCAGATCACTTGAGGTCAGGAGTTCAAGACCAGCCTGGCCAACATAGTGAAACCCTGTCTCTACTAAAAATACAAAAATTAGCCGGGCGTGGTGGCCGGCACCTGTAATCCCAGCTATTTGGGAGGCTGAGGCTGGAGAATTGCTTGAACCCAGGAGGCAGAGGTTGCAGTGGGCTGAGATTGCACCACTGCACTCCAGCCTGGGCGACAGAGCAAGACCCTGTCTCGATAAATAAATAAATAAAATTTTAAAAATAATAAAAAAAAAACAGGCTAGGCACGGTGGCTCATGCCTGTAATTCTAGCACTTTGGGAGGCCACGGTGGGCGGATCACTCAAGGTCAGGAGTTCAAAACCAGCCTGGCCAACATGGTGAAACCCTGTCTCTACTAAAAATACAAAAAATTAGCTGGGCGTGGAGGCGCACACCTGTAGTCCCAGCTACTCAGGAGGCTGAGGCAGGAGAATCTCTTGAACCTGGGAGGTGGAGGTTGCAGTGAGCTGAGATCGTGCCACTGCACTCCAGCCTGGGTGACACAGCGAGATCCCATCTTAAATAATAATAACAATAATAAAACAGAAGTGGGTAGGGCACGGTGGTTGACACATGTAATCCCAGTGCTTTGGGAGGCTGAGGCAGGCAGATCACTTGAGCCCAGGAGTTCAAGATTAGCCTGAGAAACATAGTGAGACCCCGTCTCTACAAAAATAAGTAAATAAATTAGCCAGGCATAGTGGTGCCCACCCATAGACCCAGCTACTCAGGGGCCTGAGGCGGGACGATTGCTTGAGCCTAGGAGTTCAAGACCAACCTGGGCAACATAGGAGACTTTGTCTCTATAAATAATTTTTAAAAATTAGCCAGGCCTAGTGGTACACCCCTGTAGTACCAGCTACTCAGCAGGCTGAGGCGGGAGGATTGCTGGAGCCCAGGATGTTGAGGCAGCAGTGAGCTGTGATCATGCCACCGCACTCCAGCCTGGGCAACAGAGCAAGATCCTGTCTCTAAAAAGAAAAAAAAAGAAGTATTCGTAGGAGGATCACAGAAGACCCCCAACACCCTGGTGATGTCACCCTGAAGTCCAGGAGAGCCGAGGCTGAAGTCTCGAGGGGAAGGACCCGGCCTCGATTGGGCCGCAGCCTCGGCGCTGGAGCCAGGTCTAAGACACTGCTCTCTATCACGCTGGGTTCCCCCTGCGGTGCTGCACGGCGTGGGCTGGGCACCCCCTCTGGGATCAGTTTGCTCCCTGCAGGATGACAGGGTGGGCAGGGACATGTATGGGACTCACCACCCACAGCAGGGACCCAGGTCCTTCCCCGTCTGGCTGGGGTCAGCCTGGGAGGGGCAGGGTTCCGCCTGCCTGATGCATTGCCTCCTGCTCACCACCCCCAAGCAACACTCCGGTCACTTCTTACTTCCATACCAGGTCTTCGCACTTGCTATTCCCTCTGTTTCCCATGCCTTTCCTCAGGAGAGCTCCTATGCCTCCCACACACAGCTGGGCCGCCGTGTGGTCTGGGAAGCTGTCTCTGAGCAGAGGCAGCCACTGTGCCCCAAGCCCCGTGGGCCCTCGTCCTCACCTCCATTCAGCTGTGGCCCTGCTGGATCGTCACCATCCAAGTTGATACTCTCTCCCAGGGCCCCGTGAGCCCCATCAGTGCAGGGAGTCCATCTGCTCTCTCCCGACTCCCTGCTGCACCTGGTCCAGGGTTCCCCACAGAGGAGCTACTCCATGAAGGCTCAGGGACCAAATGTGGAAGTCCCAAACATGGGCTCCAGGGAGGAGGAGAGACAGGCAGGGCCATGCGGTCAGATAGGGACAGTGAGGAAACCATTGACACGTTGATCTGTGTCACCCACATAGGAACCCTGGGGAGATGCCAGTCTCTTCTTCCCAAGCTATGGGAAGGGGAAACTGAGGCTCAGAGACACAAGAAACCTGCTGGGTTTCAGGAGTCTAACCCACCAAGGACCCCAGGATGCCTCACACCCTCCCCAACCCCACTTCCCAGCACCAGGTTGAAGACAAACTGGACTCACACCCTGGTCAAGGACTACCACCACCCGCCGCTGCCCACGTGCAGCCTCCGGTCTTCCTGCCTGGAAGCGGGCATGAGTGTGCATGTGTGCATGTCCACACAGGCATCTGCTGCACACCCACCGGCTTCCTGATCCCCTAAACAATCTGTCAGCTGTGACTGCCCATGTCCTGGCCCAGGTGCGTGCAGAAGGGTGGGATTAGGGAGGGAGCCCCGAGGGTCTGCAGGGGAGGCCGGGTCCGGGTCAGGGACACAACCAACGTGGCTGATGGGGTGGAGACGGCTCAGGCTTTGAGCAAGGACTTGGAATGTAATCCTGTGTCCAGATCCTTGTCAACAGGAGGCTTAAAACATGGGTGAAAGGATGGCACTCAAGAAAGACTGACCTGCCCCTCCAGGGCCCAGGTAGGGCACACCTGTGGGGTCAAAGCTCTGGCTTCTGGTCCAGCAAGATCCAGCTGAAGATGGTCACTAAGAGGCCTAACTTCAGAGAGCACCCTGAGCTCCCTTACCTCCTGAGCCCTGACCCTGGTCACTCCTGATACACATTGAGCCCTGACCTCAATCACAATCTGAGCCCTGGCCCTGGTCACTCCTGATACACGTTGAGCCCTGGCCTCAATCACAATCTGAGCCCTGGCCCTGGTCACTCCTGATACACGTTGAGCCCTGGCCTCAACACAATCTGAGCCCTGGCCCTGGTCACTCCTGATACACGTTGAGCCCTGGCCTCAACACAATCTGAGCCCTGGCCCTGGTCACTCCTGATACACGTTGAGCCCTGGCCTCAACACAATCTGAGCCCTGGCCCTGGTCACTCCTGATACACGTTGAGCCCTGGCCTCAACACAATCTGAGCCCTGGCCCTGGTCACTCCTGATACACGTTGAGCCCTGGCCTCAACACAATCTGAGCCCTGGCCCTGGTCACTCCTGATACACATTGAGCCCTGGCCTCAACACAATCTGAGCCCTGGCCCTGGTCACTCCTGATACACGTTGAGCCCTGGCCTCAACACAATCTGAGCCCTGGCCCTGGTCACTCCTGATACACGTTGAGCCCTGGCCTCAACACAATCTGAGCCCTGGCCCTGGTCACTCCTGATACACGTTGAGCCCTGGCCTCAACACAATCTGAGCCCTGGCCCTGGTCACTCCTGATACACGTTGAGCCCTGGCCTCAACACAATCTGAGCCCTGGCCCTGGTCACTCCTGATACACGTTGAGCCCTGGCCTCAACACAATCTGAGCCCTGGCCCTGGTCACTCCTGATACACGTTGAGCCCTGGCCTCAACACAATCTGAGCCCTGGCCCTGGTCACTCCTGATACACGTTGAGCCCTGGCCCTACCCACAGTCTCAACCAGGGGCCTTTATTGGGCAGTGCCAGTGCTCAACCAGTCCTTGAGTTGGGATTGCAGCTCCATGACCTCCTGGCCCCAGCTCCAACACCTGAGGATGTCAGAGCTGCGTCCCCTGCCTGTGAGCTGCCCCGTCTCTGGACCGCGAACCTGCAGGTCAGTAGGAGTCCTCAGGGCTGGCCCCCGTGCTCCGCACGGAGCTGGGTACCAGGTACTGGGTGGAGAGCTGCATCACGTCCGCTCCCCCCGGGCACCCAGCAGGAGGCTGGAACAAGGGACTGGAGCTGAGGGCGGCGATTTCTCTCCAGAATATTTCCCGTGCTCCTACTGTTTACCAGGATCTGAAAGACTCACAGGCCCGTGGGTTCCCCTCTCTCCCAGGCTGCGGTCTGCAGAGGAGGTGCCAGCTGTGTGGGGTGCTGGGCATTCGAGCAGTCTCGGGTGGCCGGAGGTGTCAGCCGGGCAGAGTGGACAAGAGCCATACAGACAGAAGTGCGGGGGCCCCTGGGAGACCCCAACAGTCCACGGGAGGTTGGGGCATCCAGGTGGCAGCAGGAGGGTGTGGAGGACCCAAGGCCTGGAGGACAGAGAGGGGATGGCAGCAGGCTCTGGGAGAGCAGTGGGGCTGGGACAGAGAGGGACGAGGGGATGTGCATTTGCCGGGGTCTTGGCCTCTGGTTGTGAAGCCTGTGGTCGGGTGGGGCTGGGGGTAAGGGCCTGAGCTGAGCCCCAGGGCTCTGGCTAGGAGGCTGGGAAAGCGGTGGAGGTGCTTGTGCACACGGGTGTGCATACACACACACACACACACACTGTGTTTGCACCATTGGCTCCTGGGCAGATGCTTTTCCCCACTACCATCGTAACTTCCGTTCCCCTCCACCCTGCCAGGACATCTTTTCCCAGACTTCCCACCCCCATGCCCTTGCCCCACTTTCTCCCCATCTAAATCTTCCCAAACTGCCAGCCCTCCTCCTCCAGGAAGTCCTTCCTGTCTACTCCTGCCCCTGGGCTCCCCATTTTGGCAGAGGCTGGTATGCAGTGACTGTCCCTCCCCTCCTCAGCATCCATCCAGCACCCACCGCAGCCAGACCTGTCCTGGATCCTGAGGGCTGGGGCACCTGACATGCAGACATTCCAAAGACAGGTGGCATCCTACTGCACGTGCATTTCCTCATCTAGCCCTCACACTCTGAGTGTGGACACTGAAACAGTCCTGTTATGCAATGAGGAAACTGAGGCAGGAGGCTAAGACACTTACCCTCAGTCACAGAAGGAACTTCTGTGTCTGAAAAAGACCAAAGTCCCCCCCTGCCCCGCCAGGTCTCTATAAAACATCTTTGGGAAAGGGTTTGGCTGCCTCTGTCGTGGGATTGGGGCTGTTCACGGCCTGCCTGCGGTCTCACTCACCTGAGTCCTCTGTGGGTCCCTGCACACAACCCCAGGCTTTCCTCCAGCCCCTCCTCTCACCCCTCCCCTCCAGCTCCCCTCGGCTGCTTCCTCCTCCTCTTCCCTCCCACACTCCACACTCCTGTCCATCCTCGGTGCAAAGACATGAACTTGCTTCCCACGGACCCTGATCCCATCCCCTCCGGGCCCCACCTTGACTTCTCTAGATCTTTTCCTAAAT